>NC_000018.10:14810799-15110849 GCF_000001405.40 Homo sapiens | reverse complement strand
AAAGAAAGAGAAAGCAAGCAAGCAAGGAAGAAAGAAAGAAAGGAAGGAAGGAAGGAAGGAAGGAAGGAAGGAAAGAATAAATAAATAAAGGAAAGAAAGAAAGAAAGAGAAGAAAAAGGAAAAGAAAGAAAGACAGAGAGAAAGAAAGGAAGGAAGGGGGAGGGTCAGAGGGAAGGAAAGAAGAAAGAGTGAGTCAGACAAGGAGATGTGAGTTAGCTTTGTAAATATCCATAATCCATTTTTAACTATAACTAAGAAATCACGTTGTCCAAGGCCTTGGGAGTCCACTCCTTGTACCAGTATGCCTTGGATGTTGGACACGAAATCAAAAGAGATTATTTTGGAGCTTTAAGTTTTAATGACTGCCTTGCTGGGATTCAAACTTGCTTGGGGCCTGTATCTTCTTTCTTTTGGTCAATTTCTCCCTTTTTGAACAGGAATGCTTACCCAATTCCTATACCTCCATTGTATCTTGGAAGTAAATAACCTGATTTTTATTTTACAGGATCATAGATGGAAGGGACTTGCCTTGTCTCAGACAGGACTTGGGACTTTTGAGTCAATGCTGGAATCAGTTAAGAATTTAGGGGACTGTTGGGAAGGCATGATACCATTTTGAAATGTCAAAAGGGCATGAGATTTTCAAAGGGCCAGAGCAGAATGATATACTTTTCAGAATGATATCCCCCAAATATCATGTTGAATTGTAATCCCCAATGCTGGGGTGAGGTCTTGTGGGAGGTGTTTGGATCATGGAGGCAGATCTCTCATGACTTGGTACTTACTTCATGATAGTGAGTTCTCATGGGATCTAGTCCTTTAAAAGTGTGTGGCACCTCCTCTGCTCACTCTCTTTCTTGCTCCTGCTTTTACCATGTGACGTGCCAGCTCTCCCTTTACCTTCTGCCATGTTTGGGAGCTTCCTGAGGCCTTCCCAGAAGCAGATGCCAGTATGCTGCCTGTACAACCTGCAGAACTGTGAGTCAATACAACCTCCTTTCTTATAAACTACCCATTCTCAGATGTTTCTTTACAGCATGCAAGAATGGCCTAATACACAGTTTAATGAGGATGCTGTATTTTGCAAATATATTTGTCTCCCCACAAATCACCTGATGTGTTTTGATCAGATAGCTCTTCTAATTAATATTAGAGGATATAATTTATAGAAATTAATATATTTTTGTAATTTTTGTTCTGTAAAACTATTAATAATATGTAGTTTGCTATAATTATAAAATATAAGCTAAGTTTTTGAAAATTTATTCACAATTTTGACAGTGAAATAAACACAAGTATGTTGGTAGCAACATTATTAAAATTTAATTTATTTTTTAAAAATGGTAATATGTGCATTGAGTAGAAAAGTAAAAGACCATAAGAGAATACAAAGTAAAAATCAAAATTCTTTTACCTTTCTCCTCCAGCCAACCAAGGAATCAACCGATAGAAACAACTCTGTGTTTGTAGGTTTGAATATGTGTTATATGCACTTATAAATTCTTCCAGAGAAACTCTATACATGTAACAGAAGCTTTTTACACAAATGTTTGCACTTAGCACACATTGTTCTGAAATTTGCTTCCCCTCACCTCCCCACACCCCAATGAGTTGAATGCTATATATTAGAAAACCTTATGTTTTTATATAACACTATAGTATAACGTTATTTCATTATTATTTGAAACTATACATAAATTATAATTTTCTTTGAATGGATATTATAGAGCTAATTAACACAAATTACTTTTAATTTTCTTATTTAGTGTTGTCATTTATAGCAAAATTCTAGTAATACTATTTTAATAGTCTTCTGAAAATGTACTTCCCAAACAGGTATTAACGTAATGTCTTGCTAGTGCATTGAAAATTTCTCTAAATAACTTGCATTCTTATTGTCTCTAAATAATTGCAGTTATTGTCTCTAAATAACTTGAAATTCTGTATATTGTGCTTTCCTTATCTTGAAATGTTCAAAAATAAACTGGTCTTTATTTACTTGCATAAATATATTATATTTTTCTAAATACTATTTTTATATTTTACCTACTTTCACTGAAATATGTAAACACTCTCAAAGAAGTGTCTGGGAATTTTTATTTACTGATTTATTTATTATTTTTATGTTCTACTTTCTTGTCTTCTTGATTTTGAAATCCTAAAATCCCTTAATTAAACTCATTTATTTCCTTTAATTATACCTTCCTGTCCCATCAAAACATATTCCTTAATTTTGTCTTAAAAAGTTATGCACAAAATGAGTTTCCTTGAAAATCAAAAAGCCTCAAACAGTAAAACAAATACAAATAAGCATACTATTCACCATTTATAGTTCTGATGGAAGGGAAAAGGTCAGAGGAAATGGAAAACATGAAACTAGCACATTTCCAGGCTAAAATGTGTATAAGGATTGTGTCAGGTCTCCTATTCCATTTATAAGTGGAAAGCATGTTTTTGTTCCACACAATACTGAGTAGAAGCTTCAAAGTACAGATGTGCTCAGGAACAAATGCACGCTTGTTACTTTTAAATCACTTGTATATATTCTAATGTTCTTTGTCCTCTTGGAGTCTCCAACTCAGATTAATATTTTATTACAGCAGTTACTGTTTTTAAAATGGACAGCCTGACTTAACCTCAATTTGTTAACAGTGATTTCAATGAAATATCTTTGAATAATTAATATTATGTATTCACGGTATGTAAAAGACTAGTTAGCTAGGTTAACTTTGCTTCGCAAAAATGAAGTGATTGAAGTCAATGTACATGATGAGCTATATTTCTTGAATGCCTTTATACTTCTATTTGTTGATTTGTTGGAAAGAAACCTGAACATTTATTAAGGTTTCACTATATGGCTAAAGAATTGTATACTTTTCAACCACAGTGCACTCTTTTTTTTGTTATTAAAGAAGAAGCCTCAATTTAACTAAAAATGGAGATTTGCTTGTTAGATGATTGTTTTTAAGAATAATTGTGTTTTGTTTCTACATGCAGAAGCTAATTTTAAATACTTATTGAATTAAAAAGAAAAAAGTATGCAAAATTATGAAAATTTTGGCCAGTATTTTTACTGCTTAAATAGTGTAAATCATTTTTGAAAGTCATTAATTTGCCTATTAGGAATAATCAATGGATGTTACACAGGATCTTTCTGTCTCTATTAAGAAAGATTTTAGCCAGGCGCGGTGGCTCACGCCTGTAATCCCAGCACTTTGGGAGGCCGAGGCGGGCGGATAACGAGGTCAGAAGATCGAGACCATCCTGGCTAACACTGTGAAAACCCATCTCTACTAAAAATACAAAAAAATTAGCCAGGCGTGGTGGCGGGCGCCTGTAGTCCCAGCTACCCGGGAGGCTGAGGCAGGAGAATGGCGTGAACCCGGGAGGCAGAGCTTGCAGTGAGCCGAGATCATGCCACTGCACTCCAGCCTGGGCGACAGAGCCAGACTCCATCTCAAAACAAAAAAAAAAAGAAAAAAGAAAGTTTTTTGACACAAGCAAAGCACTTAATAAAATATTTGAAATTAAGATATTTCAATTAAAATCAAATAATAAAATGTGAATCTGCCAAAGAAAATATTTTGTTTGTCTATATTGTGTTAAGACATACTGTCAACTTTTCAAATGCATAGTATAGTGTTGTTAACTATAGGCACGATGTTATGCAGTAGATCTCTAGGTCTTATTTATCTTGCATAATTGAAACTTTGTACACATTAAGTAGCAACCTCTCATTTCCTTTCTCCACAGTCCTTGATAACCACTATTCTGCTCTGTTTCTGAGTTTGACGATTTTAGATATTTCGTATAAATGGAGTCAAGCAGCATTTGTCCTTCTGCGACTGGCTTGTTTCACTTAGCATAATGTCCTTCGGGTTAATCCATTTTGTCACCTATAACAGGATTTATTTCTTTTGTAAGTCTGTATAATATTCCATTGCACATGCAGACACATTTTCTTTATCCATTTATCTATTGATGGAGATTCAGGTTGTTTTTATATCTTGGCTCATGTGAATAATGCTACAGTGAACAGGGGAGTGCAGATACTTATTCAAGATCTTGGTTTTTCAATTTCATACTTGAAAATCAGAGGGCACAGGTATGAGGATACATACAGATGCTAGTCCAACTATGCTGAATACCCATATCAAACTTGTATACCTTATATAATTTTACCCTATTAAAACATGATCATTGACCTTGGACAAGCTACTTAACAGCTCCAAGTTGAAATTTTCTCATCCGTGACATGGGTCTTTCTGTAATATGTACTGTATAGAGTTGTTGAAGATATTAAATTATATAATACATGTTAATTATTTAGCACATGGTAAATACTAATGAATATAGGCTATTTATCCTAGTTTGTACAATATCTACCCAAATGGTGAGATCTGGGAAAGAAATTTAACGGTGGTCACAGCTTACCAAAGGGATTTTCTATCCTACCAAGCTGACAAGCTGCTATACTATACTTGCTGAGAGACGTCTGATTACTGACGGTGCACAGTTTAGGCCTAAGGAATAACTCTCAGTATATACACAAACACATCCATATGCAGCTGCATTAGAAAATATATCATTAAAATATCGGTACTTTGGATTGTTTTTCCAACTAAAATATAATATTAAGTATATTTATTAACATATTTAAGTACAACATATAATAAAAATAACATGAATAATGACATAAACCTATTAAAAGATAATTTAATTATTTAGGCTACTGGTTTGTATACCCCCATCAATTTATAGGAACTAAATATATACGAGAAGATATTATTCCTTGGGGCATGTCTAGATTTCAAAATTAGTCTAAAGACCTCTTTTAATGTTTTTCCTGAGGAAATAAAACATTTTATTTTAATAAAATATTTATAAAACTGGCTGGATTATTATACATCAGGGAAGACAAATTAGTCTTATCTTGAATATCAGTGGTGATTAATTAGCAATGGATATCTGCTCCCCACAGTGCCATACCATAAGGAAGTGTCTGGAACAAACCCAGATAAGGTGGGAGTTCTGAGAGCTGTATATTTGCTATACTGGCTTTTGTTTTAATTTTAAATATATAGTGCCAGTCCATAGAAGCTCTAGATGAAACAAAAACGAAGTTTCCCATTTTAAATAAATACTTAAGAAAGTTTAAAAAGTCGAACTAAAGGGGAAATTTGACATAAAATTTTATGAAAATATCTTATATATTTCTTTTTTGAGGACTGTATCATTTTGGTGCACACTTTTTTTTTTTTTTTAAGATCCAGGGTACACGTGCAGGATGTGCAGGTTTGTTACATAGGTAAACGTCTGCCATGGTGATTTGCTGCACCTATCAACCTATCACCTAAGTATTAAGCCCAACATGGATTAGTTATTTTTCCTGGTGCTCTCTCTTCCCCTGCCACCTGCCTCTAGGCCCCATTGTGTGTTGTTGCCCTCCCTGTGTCCATGCGTTCACATTGTTCAGCTCCACTTATAATTGAGAACATGTGGTATCTGATTTTCTGTTCCTGTGTTAGTTTGCTGAGGATAATGGCTTCCAGCTCCATCCATGTCCTTGTAAAGGAGATTATCTCATTCCTTTTTACGGCTGCATAGTATTCCATGGTGTATATGTACCACATTTTCTTTATTCAGTCTGTCATTGATGGGCATTTCATTTAAGTCCATGTCCCTGCTATTGTGAATAGTGCTGCAATGAACATATGCGTGCATTTATCTTTATAATAGAAATGATTTATATTCCTTTGGGTATATACCCAGTAATGGGATTGCTGGGTCAAATGGTATTTCTGGTTCTAGGTCTTTGAGGAATCACCACACTGTCTTCCACAATGGTTGAACTAATTTACTTTCCCACCAACAGTAAAAAAATTTTTGTATCTCTCTGCAGCTCCACCGGCATCTGTTGTTTCTTGACTTTGTCATAGTCATCATTCTGACTGGTGTGAGATGGTATCTCACTGTCGTTCTGATTTGTACTTCTCTAATGATCAGTGATGTTGAGGGTTTTTTTTACATGTTTGTTGGCCACATAAATGTCTTCTTCTGAGAAGTATCTGTTTATGTCCTTTGCCCACTTTTTTTTTTTTTTGAGACAGAGTCTCACTCCGTTGCCCAGGCTGGAGTGCAGC
The DNA here is from genome assembly GCF_000001405.40 of Homo sapiens. Classification (NCBI taxonomy): domain Eukaryota; kingdom Metazoa; phylum Chordata; class Mammalia; order Primates; family Hominidae; genus Homo; species Homo sapiens. The sequence continues at coordinate 15,104,706 of NC_000018.10, read as the reverse complement.
GGTGCCACCTCGGCTCACTGCAAACTCTGACTCCTGGGTTCAAGCAATTCCCTGCCTCAGCCTCCCGAGTAGCTGGGCTTACAGGTGCCTGCCACCTTGCCCAGCTAATTTTTGTATTTTTAGTAGAGATGGGGTTTCACCATCTTGGCCAGGCTAGTCTCAAACTCCTGACCTTGTGATCCACCTGCCTCAGCCTCCCAAAGTGCTGGGATTACAGGCATGAGCCACCAAACCCAGCCTCCTTTGCCCACTTTTTAATGCTATTTTTTTTCTTGTAAATTTGTTTAAGTTCCTTGTAGACTTTGGATATTAGACCTTTGTCAGATGAATAGATTTCAAAAATGTTCTCCCATTCTGTAGGTTGTCTGTTCACTCTGATGATAGTTTCTTTTGCTGTGCAGAAGCTCTTCAGTTTAATCAGATACCATTTGTCAATTTTTGCTTTTGTTGCAATTGCTTTTGATTTTCTCGTCATGAAATCTGCCCATGCATATGTCCTGAATGCCATTGCCCAGGTTTTCTTCTAGGGTTTTTGTAGTTTGGGGTTTTACATTTAAGTATTTAACCCATCTTGAATTCATTTTTGTATGTGGTGTAACAAGGGGTCCAGTTTCAATTTTCTGCTTATGGCTAGCCAGTTCTCCCAGCACCATCTATTAAATAGGGAATATTTTCCCCATTGCTTGCTTTTGTCAGGTTTTTTGGAGATCAGATGGTTGTAAATATCCAGTTTTATTTCTGAGTTCTTTATTCTGTTCCATTGGTCTATGTGTCTGTTTTTGTACTATGCTGTTTTGGTTACTGTAGCCTTGTAGTATAGTTTGAAGTCAGGTAGAGTGATGCCTCCAGCTTTGTTCTTTTTCCTTAGGATTGTCTTGGCTATACGTGCTCTTTTTTGGTTCCATATGAATTTTAAAATAATTTTTATCTAATTCTGTGAAGAATGTCAACAGTAGTTTAATGGAAATAACATTGAATCTGTCCATTACTTTGGGCAGAATGACCATTTTTATGATATTGATTCTGCCTATTCATGAGCATGGAATGTTTTTACATTTGTTTGTGTTCTCTCTGATTTCCTTGAGCACCACTGTTCAAGGAGAACTTGGTGTTTACTTTTGAAGTAGTTGTAAATTGGCTGGATTTTGCATTGGTGATTTCCACATTTCTGTTGACAAATGAGCAAGTTGAATTAGAGTAGATGAGTTGATGACAGTTGGTGACACTGTTGCTTTGCACTTCTATATACTTGAATGAGCCATCTGATGTTTCAAATACTAAATGTAACCATTTATTAAATGAACTTAGCTAGACTTACATAACCTAAGGTTTGGATGGAACCTTATAAAGATCTTGTCACCCACATTTTTTCTTCACAGATTACTACAAAGTGGGGGGGTGGAGGGAGTGAGACAGAGAGAGAGAGAGAGAGAGAGATCATAAAATCTCATGTTATTACATACATAATTTTTCCCAGCAAGTTATTATGGCTATCACTACAAGAAAGATTGCAGATTCATGTTACATTAGTATCCTTCTTTCTGCTTAAAATAGAAATAGCACATGATTTATTTATTTAAAGGAAGTTATGTGTCCTATATATAATTGATATGGTTTGGCTGTGTCCGCACCCAAAACTCATCTTGAATTGCAGCTCCCATAAATCCCACATGCCATGGAAGGGAACGAGTGAAAGGTAATTTAATCAGGAGGGCAGGTTTTTCCCATGCTGTTCTCGTGGTAGTGAATAAGTCTCATGAGATCTGATGGTTTTATAAAGGGCAGTTCCCCTACACATGCTCTCTTGCCTGCCACCATGTAAGACGTGCCTTGCTCCTCCTTCACCTTCCACCATGATTGGGAGGCCTCCTCAGCCATGTGGAACCGTGAATCCATTAAATCTCTTTTCTTTATAGATTGCCCAGTCTCAGGTATTACTTCACAGTAGCATGAAAATGGACTAATACAATAATGAATGACAAAAGCACATATTTTATAAACTTCTTTGCAATAAAGATTAATGAGAGGTCTTTTGCTGGTAAAATAAAAAGTTTTATTATATCAAAACCTCATTTGTAAACTGGTTTTTAATTTAAAGGTAACTTTATTCACCTCAGTATTCTTTTATAAGGAGAATGTAACACATGTTCTTTACACTGGAAATTGAAATATCTATAGTATTAGAGTCTTGAACTATCTCCTCTCTCCCTTTTTCTCATTCATAAATTCCTGATATATACAATGATTTGTTTCATTAAGTCTATAACCAGAAACTTATGCTTGACGTGAAACCTTTTAGGAAGTGTTTGTCTGAAGCTGTCTACATAGCTTATTGCAATGATTAATTTTTGTGTCAATTTTACTGGGCCATGGGGTGCCCAGAAATTTGGTCAAATATTATTCTGAGCATTTGTGTGGGGGAGTTTTTGAATAAGTTTAATATTTAACTTGGTAGACTTTGAGTTAAGTAGATTGCCCTCGTTAATGTAGGTGGGCCTCATTCAATCAGTTGAAGGGCTGAAGGGAATGAAATCACTAGTTTCTTCAAAGCAAGAGAGAACTCTAAAGCAGACTACCTTCAGACTGGAATTGTACCACTGGCTTTCCTGAGTCTCCTCTGCCAGCTCACCTTGCAGATTTTGGACTTACTAGCCTTCATATGACATGAGCCAATTCCTTACTATAAATCTCTTTGCATGTGTGTGACCCAACCTCTTTCCCCTCCAACACACACCCTATTAGTTGTGTCTTACTGGAGAACTGTGACTATCATACTCTGTTTATATACGATGGAGAGGTAACTTTTACTGTCACTTTATAATAAGTGATTAATGCTGTCAGCTGTGAATTTTAGTGAATTAAAACTCATATCAAGGGGGGCAAATACAAAAGCTTTGAGTATGAAATAGTTTTGGTACAAGTATAAAGGAAATACAAACTGTCAATGTCTGAGATATTTTTAACACACCAAAAGTTGTACAGAAACAATTAATAAAGATTGAAACAAAGGAGGAAATTGAGTTTGTTTTGAAGTGATTGTGTAGGGAGTCAGTGGGAAACATGCAGTTTGTGACCCTAAAATTTTCTTTGGATCACGTTGGTGTGAGACCTGCTATGTCACTGATGGAGTTGAAGAAGGGTTTAGAGCCAAGTATATATTTTTAATGATAGTGAGAAATCTGAGGAAATTGTTTAAAGGAACTTTTAAGAATTAAGTCTGGAAATTCCTTGTAAAAAAAAATTGAGGACAGTCAGGAGAAAATACCAGCAAATAAAGGAGACATTGAAACCATTCATTCAGATTAAATTTGTGCGGAATAAATGCAGAGAAAAACAAAACTAAAAACTAATGCTTGAGGAATTACTCCAATCCAGTGGGAGGAGAAGAAAGAGAAGGTAGTAAAAGAAATAAACATTCAGAAAGTAAGAAAAGCATTAGAGATAGTCTAATGTAGCCAGGAGTACATATCCCAGACCTTAGAAAATGGTTTTCACCTTCTCAGATTTTTCTGAAGTAAATATAAACAAATCCATTTTCTGTCTCTTCTTCCTTTAATTACATTATTATCCATTGGCCAAAGCAATATGAACCAATTCTAGTAGAAATTACACTGAAAGCTCCAATGAAATAGGATTTTCTTGGGAGTCACCCAAGAAATAGATTTTCTGAGCAGAGGTTCACACTTATGTATGGTACTAATAAAGATTATCTGCAATAAGATTGGCAGTGACAAGTTGCCTACTATAGTAATAGCTTCATTATATAGAATTATTACTTGGAAAATTAATTTTAATTGAAAACAATTTATCTGAGTTGTAGAAGTAAAAAGATTCTCCCGGCAGAGTTTATACCTGCTGTGTCTACTTAACAGTGATTATTTCCCTAACTTTCTATTGACTCAAGGCTTTCTGTGCTCTATATTTTCCTCATGCATATAAAATTATTTCCACAGATAGGAACACAGCATTTTTTTGCATTTAATCTTCATTTATAACCAAATTACCATATGAAACTTATACATCTGCATCTCATTTGGGGAAAAACTGGTACTTGCAAGAAAGTTTATTGGCAATAAAAAGAATGTATTTAAATTTACACACACACACACACATACGCAAAAATTCAGAATAAAGTCATCTCCTGATAGCTTCTCCTATTTACAATATTTGTTGAAGGAATGAAAACTACATATTCCTTATTAAAAACATTTTTCCTCCATTATGATTTGAAATTGTCAAATAAGAGGAGTGGTCAAATCCCAAATCAAAAATTCTTTTTGAACTGCACCATTTCTCCCTGATTAAGTATTTAATCCTCACCTAAAGGTCTCTCTGAAGTTGAGGTCTTGAAAAATTCCTTCTTGGTGTATCTTCCAAATGGAAATGCACTGTTAAAGCTTTCATGCAATAAGAACACATTTGGAATTACATATCTGATTCATTGCTACAGTTTACAACTAGAGCCTAGGAGTTTCCACTGAAAACTGAGATAATCACTCATGGTAATTTAAGAATAGTAACTTTTCTGGATGTTTCCTACTACCATCATATTTGTAGAAAATAGGAAATACCTGTTTTAAGAAGATTCCACAGAAATGTGTTTAATATATATCACTATGCACAAATAGATGCACAAATTTATACTGTCTTTTGTCATTGATTTTTTTTTTTTTTTAGATGGAGCCTGGCTCTGTCACCCAAGCTGGAGTGCAGTGGTGTAATCTCAGCTCACTGCAACCTCCACCTCCCGGGTTCAAGCGATCCTCCCGCCTCAGCCTCCTGAGTAGCTGGGATTACAGGGGCCCACCATCGCGCCCGGCTAATTTTTGTAGTTTTGTAGAGATGGGGTTTCACCATGTTGGCCAGGCTGGTTTTGAACTCCTGATCTCAGGTGATTTTTTTTTTTATATACTTTAAGTTCTGGGATACATGTCCAGAACGTGCAGGTTTGTTACATAGGTATACATGTGCCATGGTAGTTTGCTGCACCCATCACCCCATCATCTAAGTTTTAAGCCCTGCATGTATTAGGTATTTGTCCTAATGCTCTCCCTTCTCTTGCCCCACAACACCTGTTAGGCCTCAGTGTGTGATGTTCCCCTCCCTGTGTCCATGTGTTCTCATTGTTCACCTCCCACTTATGAGTGAGAATGTGCGGTGTTTGGTTTTCTGTTCTTGTGTTGTTTGCTGAGAATGATGGTTTCCAGCTTCATTCCTGCCCTGGCAAAGGACATGAACTCATTCTTTTTTATGACTGCATAGTATTCCATGGTGTTTTTGTGCCACATTTCTTTATCCAGTCTATCATCGATGGGCATTTGGTTTGGTTTGGCTTTGAAACTGCAATCCCTCTTCCCAAAAATCCCCACTTTTCCCACTTTCTGAATGAAGCTCACACAGCAGGTTGGCATTTAAGACATGCTACTATCTGGAAAAAACCCCTCAATTTTACCACATATCTATAGCCTATAGATCAACTGGATTATTATTATTAATCAATTTTTAAGCCCACCTCATTGAATATATGAGACTATCAAGATTAGAAGATGGGATGGCGTTCTCTAGGAAAACTGTCCTCTGTTTCAAATGACACACCAATTTCAAGATCTTCCTGATTCCATCAGTTACTTCCTTTTTCCATCAACTGTCTGTGTGTTTCTTCTTTCCTTGCATTGAAGATATTTACATTTCTGATTTACAACAATATGTTATAATCATTTTTTTTTTTCCGAGACAGGGTCTAACTCTGTTGCCCAGGCTGGAGTGCAGTGGTAAGATCTCGGCTCACTGCTACCTCCACCTCCTGGGTTCAAGCAATTCTCCTAGCCTCAGCCTCCCGAGTAGTGGGGACTATGGAGCATGCCACCATTTCTGGTCTGATATATGTATTTTAGTAGAGACAGAGAGAGATGGGGTTTTGCCATTTAGGCTAGGCTGGTCTCGAACTCCTGACCTCAGGTGATCCGCCTGCCTCAGCCTCCCAAAGTGCTGGGATTACAGGTGTGAGCCACCAAGGCTGCCCTCTTATAATCATTGTGATATGCATATTTCCTTCAAAATTTATGTTAATGGAACTGAATTGCTTGTAAATCATGAATGAATGGCTTGTAAAATCATCCCACAATGAAATATTCATTGGAATTTTTTTTCTGTACTAACTCACAGCTGGGTAAGAGAAGTAGAAACAGTCAATTACATGGATATTTTATATGCATATTATCAAATAAAATTATATTTTTTAAAAATAGCATATTTGATATCACATATACATATATTAAGCCAGGATAACTTTAAGAAAATTTTATTTCAGTTTCTTTAGATACCAGTTATCATTACTCTTTATCTCATTTATCTGAAGAAAATGCACATGAGGCATAGGAATCTCTCCTCCCTATTACAGGGGAAGCAAGCAAGAAACACATTTTGTTCTTGTGAAAGACTTAATGGGAGGAAAAAACAGAGGATGGAAAGCCCTAATCTGACCTGCAAACAAAAAAGTCCTTTGAAAATAATGCAGTAAGTAATTTCCTCCCCTCTATTGGCAATGCCATCTCAATCTCTAAGAATTTCCTATTCACTCCTTGACCTTTCCAATGAGGTCATCACCAAAGGAAATGTCTTACTTCAAGAGTAACAACAGACTTTAAAGATCTTAAACAATTTCAGAGTATAGACCTTGTTAGATCCTGTTCTCTTGAAGGGGAAGAGTAAGCAAGAGTTTTTTGCCAAAGAAATAACTTTTCAATGAATTTCAAAGCACTTGTGTGTGTTCTGAAAGTATAGAGCTGGACTCTATATAAATTCTAACATGTCAACATATTTTACATTGCCTGTATCTTGAAATAATACTTTAGCTACTGAGGATTGTCATTTATTGATAAGGCTATATCTGATTTAGGAACTTAGACTATTAAAAAAAATAGAAGAAATGTTGAGCTGAAAAAACTATAAACTTTTCTCAAATAAAATATGTCCATTTGATTGACTACCTGGTTTCACTTTATTCAAAAGACAATTATTTTCTATAAATCTATATATGTTTGTAATTTATATGAAAGTTTTAGAAAATAATTTATACTGATTATATATAAGTAGCTACAGTGTTAAAATTTCTATTATATTATTTTACTTTTTAAAATAATTTGTATCTGATTTATGGTGTCCAAGACTTAAGATGAGAATTTAGTGAATTATATTTATGTCATACAGAACAGCAAAAAAGATAAATATATAAATAAATGATAAGATATAAGATATTCTAGTCATGGCTGGGCATGGTGGCTCATGCCTATAATACCAGCACTTCAGGAGGCCAAGGCGGTTGGATCACCTGAGGTCGGGAGTTCGAGACCAGTCTGACCAACATGGTGAAACTCTGTCTCTACTAAAAATACAAAAATTAGCCAGGCAGGGTGGTAGAGCCTGTAATCCCAGCTACTCAGGAGGCTGAGACAGGAGAATCGCTTGAACCCAGGAGGTGGAGGTTGCAGTGAGCTGAGATCATGCCAATGCACCCCAGCCTGGACGACAAGGGCAAAACTCCATTTCAAAAAAATAAAAGATATTCCAGTCATGAAAAATAACAGTTATGAAAGTTTAAATTAAGAAACTGAGGAAGTGATAATTTTTTTAAATTGTATCAGCTTTCTTTGTGCTGATATTAAATCAGAACTGTTCTAAACATGATTCTTATATAATTGGTTACTATTTTAAAATGACAGATATTGAATGTGTTAATAAACCTTTCTGAAGCCATCTTAGTTAATGGCCCTTCAGAAGTAGAATCTGAACACAAGATTTGAGAGCAAGTGATGCAATAAAGAAGTTCTGCCAAAAGAAACCACTCAGAAAGTGTAGGAAACACAACTGGAAAAAACAAGTCAAGCAAGGCTATGATTTCAGGTGAGGCACCAGCCTCAGTCTGACTGGATGGGGAGCTCTGGAGGGTAAATTGCACTTTATAGTTGGTCCTATGGGGAAACAGGTGTGCTGAGCTGTTGTATTCCACTAACCATTCATTAGCTATGGGCCATAAGCTGTCCACAGACAACTCAGCTCTAAAAAGATAATCTGTCCTCTAAACTTTCCATGCCAGTCTTTAGCAGCAAAGCACAGAGAGCCTAAGGAGCGGTCACACAGTTCCTACGGGGGATCCACGGTTTTTACATGAGGCACTAACACTGTCTACTGTAGGAAGCATGTTGAATTTTAATTAGCAATTCTAAGAATTGCTCATAATATTGTTGCAGATATTGCCAGCCACCTACCCCAGAACCATTCACCACTGCTACAACCCCATTACTGACACCACCACCTGTAGCTCTCTTACCCTTTGCTGATTTAGCCTGATATTATTAAAGCATTTACCTTTACACTATGCACTTTTAACTATTAGAATGATTATTGGTTTTAGCCAGCCATATAAATGGCATTTTCCTTCACAGTGGTTAGTTTAGAAGTTAGCAAGAAACTTAATCTTCTTGATTTTTCAAGGAAAATGTATCCACATTTTCCACCCTAATAAAAAAAAACTGCACAGAAGAAAATATTCTTCATGACAACATCACTATGCCTGCATGCATTGACAGAAATTACTAAGGTCATGTTGCCATCATAAGTGGCAACAAAATAGACAGTCTATAGATAGCAAAGTAAATCATGGAAAGCCACAAAGGTTTGGGTGAGACTTCTGGGCCACTGTAACCTCCACAGAGCTGGATTTTTATTAAGCAAATAAAAAAACTAAATAATTGTCAGTTGGGTCTCCTGTGTTAGAAAATGCATTTTTATTAATATAATAATAGCTATCAAGCTATTGGCCTTTATAAAGAGCCTACAATGTGCCAGCTATATTTATAAGTACTTTACATATATCAATTCATTCTGGTGAAAGAGAACACATCCCATAGCTACTAATAAATATCATAATTGTCACATATAATCAAGATATTTGGCTCGTATTGAAGACGTTCAAATTATGTTGTGTTGCTCACTGAAGTTACTATACATTATCACTACTACTTCCAGCAAAAACTATAGGGAGGAAACAGCAGATTATGTTTAAGTAATGTAAATAGCCATCTTAGTAAAATACTTACATAATATGTGTTTTTGATTTTCTTAATAATAGACTTGTGCAGAAAAACTTTTTATAATTTATAAGAATACTAAATTAACTATTGAAAACATTTGTATGTCTTTTTTTATCTCCTATATTTTTCCAGGCAATATTAGCAGAATACTACTCACAAAGTTTTCTAAGCCATATCAAACATATCAATGTTTGTGAAATCAAAGCACAAAAATGCAAATTTCTGATATTTAATATATAAAGTGTATCTATACAATTTATAATTTGATAAATTTTACATGCTTATTCTTTCTCTGAATGTATTACATAATTACATGAGATATATTAACTCATATGCTATAATACTTCATTTAAGAATAGTGTCCTCTTCAAAATCGATTTGGGAATACTTACAGCTTGATTTGGCTCAACTGAATAAATGAAAATCTTAGAAGTTTCATTGTTGCTAGAGCCAATGAGAAAAACTATCCAGTATGGTACCTTTGCCTGCTATTATTCTTCTCTATTTATCTTTATTAGTATTCTAGAGTTATTAAGAATAGATTATAATTGAAATATGAGAAGTCCTGGGAAAACTTCATGGGCAGCCACCTAACCACTTTTTTTATATTCTACCGGAACTGGCTTTAAGGAAGAACAATCAGAGTACATACTTTAATTACAAGCAGAAGAACAGAGTAACTTTAACTTTATGATATTCAATTTTTTTTAATTCTAATCTTTATGTGACCCTGCAAATTTGAATTCAGGCTGGGTGTGGTGGCTCACGCCTGTAATCCCAGCACTTTAGGAAGCCCAGGTGGGTGGATCCCCTGAGGTCAGGAATTCAAGACCAACCTGGTCAACATGGCGAAACCCTGTCTCTATTAAAAATGCAAAAATTAGCTGGGCACAGTGGCACGTGCCTGTAATCCCAGCTACTTGGGAGGCTGAGGCAGGAGGATCACTTGAACATGGGAGGCAGAGATTGCAGTGAGCTCAGATCATGCCACTGCACTCCAGCCTGGGAAACAGAGCGAGACTCCATCTCAAAAAAAAAAAAAGTAAGATAAAATAAATAAATAAATAAAGTAAATTCATCTTTCTGAGAGTTAAAGCTAATGTCTATAAATTTTTATTGATAATTAATAATATTTATCTGTGACTTCATAAAGAGTTAAAGGATGAATATAAAAGAATATGATTGCCTTAGTGTGTGAATCTCATGTGGTAAGCACACTTGATAAATGTTAGATCCTCTCAGTTATTTTTTTCTTTGTGACTCAGAGCCCACAGTAGGTGGAAATACCAATACCAAGTTACCCTACGGAGACTAAAAACAGGACTAAAGGAGTTAAAGACATGAACTTCAGTATCTTGCGGGAGCTAAGATTTTAATTTATGCTGAGATGTAAAAAACTGACCTGATGTATTTTATTCCACAAGGGTATTTGAATTTTAAAAGATAAACGTTTAAATAAATGTTATTATATATGTTTATCCAAAATATTCGAGGACAGAGTAGAACTTTCATAGAGGAGAAATTTTCCCAAGGTGGTGAAGGGCAGTGTGCCATGCAAAGGGCTGCAGGTTCAGTAGCATAGAAGGGCTAAGCAGTGGTGAGAGTGTTGAACATTCTCGTGTAGCTGACACATAAATTGTAAATGGGATGTGAGACAATAAAAGCAAAGGGTAGGCTTTGAAAGTGAGGGCCAAATTTCAAAAATCTTGTATGAAATAAAATAATAATTAATAATAATGGTTGACATACGGATTTCAAATGGCACTCCAAGGCACTATGTCTTGGAGTATCAAATTTAGTTTAAGATTGAGAGTGGGATTATACGAGTAGGAGATGCATCATATTCACATGAAAATAAAGAGATACATTGAGGAATAGAATGAGAAATTAACTTGAATAGTATGAAACTTCAGAGAGTGGTAAGTACCACAGTTATAGAAGGTAATCATCACCCTTATTGATAAATGAAAAAACTAAATTTCGATGGTCAAGATAATTTTCCCAGGATTATGTAACTGACAAGTCAGAGAATGGGAAATTTACCTATCTAAGCTTTGTTTTTTCCAAAACGCTGCACTGTATGTTAAGAAAATAAATTTTTAGACAACAGTAGCAAGTCATTTGAGCATTTAAAATAGCTAAAAGCTACAATCACACAGACACACATACACACACACACACATCCAACAACAAGGAAGGTAGAGGTATTTTGGCATTTGAAATTATCCTAGTAAGAAATGATAAAGGTCTGAAATAGTGTAGAATTATTTCCCTTTACTGTCAGAGGCTAAATTGATCTTGGAAACATTACTTTCTTTGATAATAAAGTATTGTCATTATTAAGTGTTTATAAGGTATATGTGAATAAATCACATAGTTACTTTTAAAGGTAACTCATGCTGGTGAAAAGACATGGAGAGGCAAAAAAGCCAATGTCTTAAAGTTTTAATATATTTTTAAGTGTATGAAGCAACCAATTTATTTTGATATAATCAGTGGTGAAAGTAATGCCATCAAGCATTCGTGGAGGCTTTTAATTAGAATCATGTGCTACGTAAAGCTGTTGGACAGAGTTTAAAGGATCAGAATGTTGGAGGATATAAAAAAAAATGGCAAATGCCCAGTTGCTTTTGTAAGGGATTTTAAATTAAAGCAGCAAACCTTTTAAAGCATCACACAGTGGGCAGAATGAAAATGAAAGCTAATTAACCTGAATTATTTTTCAGTTGTACAATTTTGCAATAATCTTCCATGGAGTTCATGACCAGAGGATGACTAGACCTTGAGAAGTATTTGAAGAAGGGGTCAGTGTGGGAGCCAAGGCAACCATCTGAAACAGCTGGCCTGCCTGGGCATGTCTGAGCCAGATGTCCACTTCTGGTCCAGGGTTAGAATTATGTATCAAATCAGGTACTGGGAACAATTTATCTATGTTAAAAAGATGTGTGTGTGTGAATGGATGTGTGTGTGTGAATGGATGTTCTGCTGTAAGAACAGAAAATAGTATCTTAATTGTAATAGAAGATACTTTGATAGCATGTTTCAAAAGGCTTAAAATTCATATCATTTTACACATTATTTCAATTCTTACTAATTTATATTAAAGATATCATTAGAGTGAATATGAGTACTTATTACCATACTGTTTATTGACATTTTATTTATAATAATAAAACATTCCAATAATTTTAATTGTTAGTAGTAAGGGAATGGTGAAACTCATGGAATATTCATGAAATAAAATGTGTGCAGCCATGAAAAATCATGCAATAGAAGAATATTTAATGACACAGGTGTAGAGTAAAACTAAAAATTATTATAAATAATCACATCTACGAATTGTTAGTTTAAAAGTATATTTAAGGAATTTATATCCAAATTATATATGTATTTATAAAAAGACAAGTAAGAAATACACAAAATATTTTAGATTATATTATCCAAATGGAGTTACATGTACTTTTTTTGTTTACATTATGCTATTAGAAATTTACTCATTTTTATAAAATAAAATTGTTTTTTTATTTTACTAAAAATACTGTTCTGAGATATCAACAGTTGGGGAAAATGTGTTAGCAATGAACTCAAAGAAAAGTAGTATAAGCATAAGAAATATATTTTTACTTCAGCCTAAAACTAAGCCCTTAACATTCCTTAATTGAGGAATGTCAACCATCTCATTACATTTCCTTAGGCTGCAAAATATGTAAGTATACCTCTCTTTTCCTATTGTGCTTTTATGAAAATATTCTCTTTGGTATTCTTTTATGACATGTCAATTTTAAAAAATAAAGTTGTGTTTACACCAACACATTTTCATACATTGGCACCTGGTATTTATAACTCTAAAGCCAAAGTGGGCACAGACTAGGACCTGCTGAAGCAGGGAATCTGAGTCTCACAGGGCGGCTTCAACCTCTGTGACCACCTAAGAATCTTTTGGAATGATCCCCATCAGCAATGTATAATTGTACACATTTTACCATGCCCACTCTAACACCAGAAATTATCTTTAATAATATTTTTAATGCATAAAAATACTTATTAAAATAATTTTGAAGAATAAAAATATATTTTATATAATAAATATTCTATAATAGAAAGATACATCCTGCAGTTGTGTTGTGGAAGAAAAATACAATAGGGAAAGAAACCTGAAATGGTGGCAATTTTGTTTTTAAGAGTGAATGAGTATATATGTGAAGGAAAAAAGAAGTGAGAGAGACAGAGAGAGAGAGGGAGCGTGTGCAGGTAGGAAGAGGAAGAGAAGGAACACAGAAGAAAGAATTAGATCTCCCTTTTGTCGGTTGATAATTTAATTAACTACCTTTCTTAGGAATATATTATACATTCAGTTGAATAAATAGAATGACAGACACTAAAAAATATTCAGTGTAACATAATGTCCAATATAGTCTAATTCCAGTTTTCTAGCTGATAGTCCTGGGAGTCCTAGAGAGAGAAGACTGAGGGAAAGAGAAACCCCTCCTTATGACTGGTTTCCAGTGACTTATGAGTGAAGGTATTAAAGCCAAATAGGGTCTTTCTGTGTTTTCCATGTTCCACCTCTTTTCAAGCATTTGTGTGAGAACCAGGGACACCTTAAGGGAGAAGGGAATAGTGACTTTGCCCTTCTGCTTTTTCCTCTAAAATTTCTGATTGTAGTAAATGGCTTCATTCAAAGTTAACCTTGCATTAAATATATTTTAAAATATATCAACTTGGTAATGCAAATATATATGAAAATAAAACAGTTTACTCATGTAGTTTATGGCATAGTGATGCTAAAATGAGTTAATATTTATTTTATGAAAGAATAATTGTACATATAGAATTTATTATTAATTGATACTAAACATTTATTGATTGATAATTCGGATGGTTTTGATTTAATGAAGTGTTTCACACATGTGTATACGTGTGTGTGTGTCTGTGTGTATATATATATATATATATACACACACATATAACTTATAGTTATGTACACACCTGTACCAATACCTATGAAGGATACTTATATCATGACTTTCCACATAAAATAATAATCAAGCTGCTATTTCCATTTAAATATACAAGATAAACATTTCATTGAATGTTACAAAATTAGCCAGGCGTGGTGGCACGTGCCTGTAATCCCAGCTCCTCGGGAGGCTGAGGCAGCAGAATCGCTTGAAACCAGGAGGCGGAAGTTGTGATGAGCCGAGATCGCCACATTGCACTCCAGCCTGGGCAACAAGAGCGAAACTCTGCCTACAATAATAATTAATTAATTAATTAATACTTCCTATACTTCTTTTTTTTTCACTCTTACTGCCCAGGCTGGAATGTAATGGCGCGACCTCAGCTCACGGCAACCTCTACCTCACGGGTTCCAGCGATTCTCCTGCATCAGTCTCCCGAGTAGCTGGGATTACAGGCACGCGCCACCACGCCCGGCTAATTTTGTAGTTTTAGTAGAGATGGGGTTTCTCCATGTTGGTCAGGCTGGTCTCGAACTCCTGACCTCAGGTGATACACCTGCCTTGGTCTCCCAAAATGCTGGGATTACAGGCATAAGCCATGGCGCCCGGCCTACTCATACATCTATATTTGTTGCAGAAAATGATAAAGTGTTCAATAAAATAATTCTATGCAGTAGAATAAATTTTTTGTGGAAGTGAAATAGAACTATATGTTCAAAGAAAAAAAAGAACAGTCAAAGATTTCCAGATGCTACGAATGAACATGTTCATGAATATTTCTATATGGATGATGGCAGGGATCAAATTGCCAATATATTTTCAATTTCATCAAATATGTTGTTAAAATTGATAGATTTTATTTCAAAATATTTCTGTTTATAATGTACCAAAGATTATACACCATTTACAACTATTACAATGAAAACATTTAAATGTCAACCTAAAACATTTACAAGTGAGTTCCTAGTTTTTGAAAATTATATAAAAGGCAATTGAAAAAAGAAAAAAAACACTGTCTTGGAACACACATACCCCTGTAACCATCCACCTAGAATTTGGTGAGTCCAATGGGAAAGGCTTTCCAGTATTCGTATTTGTGGACCCATGTTTTAGCTGAGTGGTAGGAATACAGTTATTTCATTTCTGAGTGTTGAATAAATATAGTGTCATATTTGAGTGAAGATTATAGGACTTAGAAGATCTAGATATCATAACATCCAAAACAAGCTATAGGCAGGGTTTTCACTTCTATAATTCTTGGTCTTCATTCATAAAAATCGAGACCACATTAATGCTTACTTCAGAGGAGCTGAATGTCAGCAGAGGCTAAAAAATGTAGAGTTTACTGGATCATATTAAGAATTACAAGTTTTATTTGAAAGAACATTTCCATCTAAATTATCTTTCTAAACATCTAAAGAATGGGTCAAGCATAAGGACTAGTCTATCTAGTCTCACTGATGAGACCTCAAATGCACAGGCAACAAAAGTTAAAACAGACAAACAAGAATATATCGAACTAAAACTCCCTGCATAAATAACAAAGGAAACAACAACGTGAGGAAACTATCTGTAGATTAGGAGAAAATATTTGCAAACTATGCATCTGACAAGGGACTAATGCCCAGAATATATGAGGAACTCAAACAACTCAACAACAACAACAACAACAAAAAACAATCCATTAAAACACAGGCATTTCTGAGTAGACATTTCTCAAAAAAAAGACATACAAATGATCAACAAGTATATAAAAAATCCGTCACAAATCATCAGGGAAATGCAGATTAAAGCCACAATGAGATAACATCTCACCCCAGTTAGAATGGCTACTATCAAAAAGACCCCCCAAAAAATTTGTGCAGAGAAAAGGGAATTCTTATATACTGTTAATGGGATATAAATTCATACAGCCATAATGGAAAACAGTAGAGTTTTCTCAAAACACTATGTATAAAATTTCCATATTATCCAGCAATCTTACTATTGAATATTTATCCAAAGAAAAGAAAATCAGCTTATCAAAGATATATCTGAACTCCCATGTTTATTGAAGTGCTATTCACAATGAACAAGATACAGAATCAACCTAAATGTCTATCAACAGATGAATGAAGAAAATGTGGTATATATATATATATATACACAATGGAATACTATTCAGCCATAAAAAGAATGAAATACTTTCATTTGTGGCAACAGGGATAAGCCTAAAGGACATTATGTTGAGTAAAGTAACTCAGGCACAGAAAGATTTATACTGAATGTTCTCATATGTAAGAAGTGAAAGAAGTTGAACACATAGAAGTGGAGAGAATTGTGTTTATTAGAGGCTTGGAAGTATAGGGGGTATGGGTGGGTAGGGAGAAGTTGGCTAAGTCATACAAAATTACAGCTAGATATGAGGAAAAAGTTCTAGTGCTCTATAGCACTGTAGGGAGAATATAGTTAAAAGTAGTTTATTATATATTTTTGAGAAGCTAGAAGAGAGAATTTCGAATGTTCCCCAAACTGTTATGAGTATGCTAATTATCTTTATTTATCTTGATTACCTTAATTGGATCATTACACATTGTACCCATGTATTGAAATATCACTAGATGCCATAAATATGATTTAGGTTGGTGCAAAATAATTGTGGTTTTGGGCTGTGAATTTCAAATCATTATAACTAGGCTCAAACACATCTTTATTAATCAAAATAGGAGTCATTATAATCAACACTTTTTTGCCAACAAGAAATAAGTTTGCTTATTCCTGTAGCATAAAAGTATGTGCTTCGGGATTTGACAAACTCTTGGAAAGCATTTTCTGCATCCTGCTGGTTGTGGAAGCATTTTCCCTGCAAAAAGTTGTCGAGATGCTTGAAGAAGTGGTAGTTGGCTGGAGGGAGGTAAGGTGAATATGGCAGAAAAGTCAAAGCTTTGTAGCCCAATTCGTTCAACTTTTGAAGCGTTGGTTGTGCAACATGTGGTCAGGCATTGTTGTGGAGAAGAACCAGGCCCCTCATGTTGACCAGTGCCGACTGCAGGCTTTGCAGTTTTTGGTGTATCTCATTGATTTGCTGTGCATACTTCTCAGGTATAATGGTTTCGCCAGGATTCAGACCGTTGTGGTAAATTAGACCAGCAGCAGACCACCAAACAGTGAACATGACCTTTTTTTTGGTGCAAATTTGGCTATGGGAAGGACTTTGGAACTTCTCAGTCCAACCACTGAGCTGGTCATCACCGGTTGTCGTATCAAATCCAGTTTTCATCGGACATCACAATCTGATCGAGAAATGGTTTGTTGTTGTTGCATAGAATAAGATGACACTACAAAAAGTCAAATTTTTGGATTTTCACTCAGCTCATGAGGCACCCACTTATCGAGCTTTTTTGCCTTTCCTATTTGCTTCAAATACCGAATCACTGTAGAATGGTCGACACTGATTTCCTTGGCAACTTCTCATGTAGTTGTAAAAGGAACAGCTTCGATGATTGCTCTGAATTGGTCATTGTCAACTTGGGATGGCCAGCCACTGTGATCCTCATCAAGGCTCTTGTCTCCTTTGCAAAATCTCTTGAACCACCACTGCACTGTATGTTCGTTAGCAGTTTCTGGGCCAAATGCATTGTTGAGTTTGCAAGTTGTCTCCGCTGCTTTATGACCCACTTTGAACTCGAATAAGAAAACTACTGGAATTTGCATTTTGTCTAACATCATTTCCACAGTCTAAAATAAATATCAAACAAACAGCAAGTAATAAGTCATTAGCAAGAAAACATAAAGCAAAAAATGCCCATTAAAACACTATATAACATAAGCACATTAATTTAAGAATGTATTCCAGTATCAAATGGCAAATTCCAACAGTGAAAAAGCCGCAATTACATTTGCACCAACATAATACAATTATTATGTGTCAACTAAAAATAAGTGAAAAAATATGAATAGAATTAACAAGAGTTATCCTTTGCAGAAACCAATTCTATTCTATGAACTGTCAAATATGATCAACATATCCTTCACATCTACGTTCAAATCAAAGGTAGGGAACAGTTCATTGATGTGTTCTGATAAGAATAAGACTTACAGGTGGATTTGCAAACTTTGGGGAGTCATTCATGATGAGTGTAAACAAAACTTATTATCTTTGATGAGCATTCAAACCAAGATACACACGATTCATAAAACATGACTAGCTTTTAAAATTCCCTTATTGGCTGCAACGGTTGTTTCTTTTAAATACACAAAAGGGGCCTGGTGAGATCTGAAACACCTGGGTGACAGTGGCATCAATCAAATGTCTCTTTCATCCATTTCTTTACCCTGATGTAAGAAATCTAGATGCTTGCAAAATGTTCCCTTTAACAAGATGAACCACATTTGTCTGTAACTACAGTAATAGTTTATTCAGAAATTCATGTCCCTAGCATTTGTGGGGCTCGGGACAGGAAATCAAATGTAAGCCTGCATACCATATGTCTAAATACTTAAAAGTTATAAATCAACCTAAAAACCCATTAAATATATTCTATTCTTCTACATTGACCAATATAGCTTTATAATGATCATGTGCAAATATGTGTAAAGCTACCATTTTCAATCTAAGAACATCTGCAAAATATCAAATACCACTGAATTTTATTATTGTTGTTCATGTCAAGCATCTTGGAGAAGGCCATGTTGTCTGGATTCAGCAAGTTGTTTTCTGATTAAAAGGCAAATGTGCTTTTGCCATTTACAAAGAATTGTATTACAGCTTATGGAAATACATATTGTTTTAACATTTACCCAAACTGTGACTTTCAAGTTTTGGAAATTACTAGGAAATGCACCAGCTAAAAGTCAAAGGGATTATTGTTAGTTTTATCTCCACTATTTTTACTTCAGTATCAATGATGAAGTCATTGCAAAAGCAAGAAAAGGATAATGTCAACCAGGGCAAACACAAAATGAGCAGGTATATAATATGTTAAAACCCTCCATGGTTTACTTTGTTTCAATACCTATAATGAAAATGTTTGCTTTTTCCTAGAAGAGTCTCTGCCCAGTTTAACACTAATTTCCCTGTGTACCTGTTTTTGAGTTTTATTATCACCATAAAATAAGCAGTTTAAAATAATAAGCCCAGATCTTATTTATTAAAATGTATGGGCCATTTTTCACCAGGAAAAGTGAAGAATCTTCTGAACAGCCTTGTATACATCAGACAAAATATGCATAATGAGGGCAGTAGGTACATTTAAAATTATAGGGTGACACACTGACTTCCTTTAAAAGTAAATGAAGAGGGAGGAAAATATGAGTTTTTAAATATTAAGTTCCATCAAAATTCCTGATATCTGATTAAGTACACTCCACTTTTCTTATAGGCAGATACCAATACAATAGCTTTCAAGTAATGTTTAAAATGCTTTTTTTCTCTTTGGACAATCACATTGTACCTACCTCTCCTAAAGAATTTCCCACTTTAAGACCCAATATTCCAACACAAAGGGTACACAGATGTAAGACCATGTAGAGAAAAGTTAAAAATAAAAACTACAGAATCTGGTATAGCTGGGGATAATTAGTGAAAAACAATTTTTTGCCAGAAATAAAAGGAAGTTGGGTAGACAAATTTTTCTTTAGCCGGGTTTTGGAAGATTCATGGCAAGAGAACATATTAACAACCCCACCCCTTCTCTTCTATTCCATAGAATCTAGCAAAAAAACCTCCATCATATAACACTTCTTTTTAATAAAACTTGGTTGATTCTAATAACATTTGAAAAATCAATCAATTTTGAGGTTCCCTATATCTTTTTAAACCAATCCTGAAGCTTGAACGTGCTGTTTGAAGACCCAGAGCAATCCCTTCCAAATGTCTGTGTCATTTTATTTTCTGTACTTGAATGCTAGTGTCTGATAGTGCAAGATTACTATTTTACAAATACTACTTCACGTATTTTCCTTCAGAAGCAAATCTTCTTCTGGGTTATGAATGTAATGACATGATGTTGCTTTCATAAAACCAAACTTTCTATCAAGATTTCATTCAATTTAATACACAGTAATCAGCATCTGCTCTGTGTCAGATAGTTATGTGGGGATAAAGATCTTTCCACATAAGACTCAGTTTCTAGCCTCAAGTCCCTTGCAGTCTAGCTAAGTAAGAAGACACAGGCTGTGTTTCCCCTTGATGATTAAAATGTTCCATGGGCTGGGAATTCTGTGCACTTGATGTTGTCTGCACTTGATTTCTATCATTCAACAAGATTCATTCAACTTTTTTTAAATTGGTGAACTGAAAATACTTCCAATTGTATATTTCCTTTCTGTTCTCATTGCAGAAGTATTCAATCAATGAGGAAATTAATCATAATGAGGAAACTGATAGAATATAATGGCATAGCTATAGATTTATATAAAAATATATTTTTTAATATTTAGGTGCTTCAAATGAAGTTACATCCAGTCGTTCTATGAATGAGAGAAAACTGGATTTGTTCTTGTGAAGCCAATTTAGACTTAGGTTGGCTTAAATTTACTTTTTATTTAATCCATGTGCTACTCCTTAAATTATCAACATATAGCAACTCGAAAGGATAAGTTTGCATTAATTTATGATGCCTTGGTAAAGAGTTTGGTCTTTTCTTTCAAGCTGGAGCCATCGCATGAATATGTACACTTTAAAATTCACAAAAGGACATTCTCACAGGTTCACTGGAGCTTAATGAGTAGTTAATATATCTGCACCGAAGTGACAGGTAAGGAAATGTAAGTTTTATGTAATGTTTCCATTTTGGATTTTGCTTTCTTTCTTGACATCCTTCCCTTCCATTATACTGTTACCTCTCTTACTTCTAAATATTTCCTTTTATTTTTCAATACAATCTTCCTGCAACTTTTTAATGTTGACATTAAGCCTAGGCCTGATGTATGTTCTTTGCTTAATCTTTAAGAATCAGGTGAAGAATAAACAAGGATTTATAAAATGTTGAATTAGTGAACTGATTTGATATGGCCTCAAGGCAGTGAAACTTTCTATCTACTGAAGTAATTTAACACAGGAGCTGAAACAATTCTCTCAATCTGTACCTACCATATTGCAGAATATTTGCAACAAGTATTTTAATATCCAACATAATTTTTATAATTTTCTAAAGACCTTTTGTGTAGAACACTCTTGATAATAGGTTTAATAAAATTGCCTTACAGAAAAAAAATCATTATTATTTTTACTCCAGCAGTGATAGTGGAAACAGACTCCATTACATTTTACTTTCTTGAAAATGTTAAAAAAAGAAACACTACGTATCATTAATATTCCCTAAATAAGATATTTGAATCTAATTACAAGGGTCTTCAAAAATCATATAACAATTAGTTTAGAGCGATTGATTTTCTCTTCAATGAGCATCTTGAAAGCATTTTCTTTGTGTGAAGAAACTTAGAAGTTTCAAAACCAACATGGTAAAATCTAAATACACTTTTATTTCTGTAAATTAAAATTATGATTTAAGAATATTTATTCCTTGATATGTCTCTATTGTATTCTGTAATCAAAACTCTAGAATAAAAATAAAGTGTCTCTCATTCTAGTTTCCAAACAGGATAACGATTGACACTTAACATTTATTTTATTTAAAGTCCTGTTGTAGAACATTCCACTATGGAACACTGCTTACGACTGGGAAAATTCTTTCTTCTTTAATGCAGGAAGTGTTCAACCCTGACACATGCATGGCAAAGACATCCAGGTTGCACAATTGTCTAAACTCCTCGCCAATTACTTGCACCAGGACTCCCAAAAACTTTACGTCCTTTTGGCTTCTGCTATGCTGTTTAAAACGACATAGTCCTAACTAACTGCATTCCACTGCTAAAGAAGAACCCTGACTCCAGATAATCAGTCACTGAGGTCCTTGCCTTATCACCACCATTTCTTCAAAACAGAGACCCTGTGTCCTTTTAGCTCCTCTTTTTGTCAGAGGCACATTCCAGATAAACACCACTCTTGCGCTTCCACTCATGGGTCTTTAACCTTTCTGCATGTTTCTCTCTCTGCCTAGGATGGCTATTTCTACCAATCACGTTAAAGTAACTAACAGAAGTTTAAATTTCTTCAACATAAATGATAGCTTATGGATAGCAACTATTAATGGGGTTTTTTTTGTTTGTTTCTGGGTTTTTGTTGTTGTTTTTAATTAATTAATTTTATTTTATCTTCTTTTTAGCAGCACTGTCTCACTTGTCACACAAGCTGGAGAGCAGTGGCATGATCATAGATTACTGCAGTCTAGACCTCCTGGCCTCAAGCTATTCTTCCATTTCAGCTTCCCAAAGTGCTAGGATTACAGGCATGAGCCACCACACCTGGCCAAATATTTAGGTTTTTAAAAGAAAGGAGTTGGTCATTATTTGTAAAGAAATCTGCCCGTTCCCTTAGTAAAATCAGCCAGGTCAGTTACTGGTTCAGGGATTAAAATAAATAATTTGTAGTTGTGTTATAATAGACACTATTTTCCAAGGTTGGCAATGGTAAACAACTCCCTTTAAGGGGAAATGATTAGAAATAGAAACTTCAAGCACCCTGCCATAGTGAAATGTGGCCCTCTGTGGTAAATTAAAGATGGCCACAAATATTTTCCTATGTTTTATATTGAGAGGTGAAGTCTAATTCCCCTCTCCTTGAATTTGTGCTGGCCTTAATGATTTGTCCAACAGAAGGCACGAGGGATAACATTCTTAGACTTCTCAGGCTAGCTGAGAAGAAGTCTCATAGCTTCCACTAGATTTATTAGAATGTTGGTTCTCAGATCATTGAGATGCCATATAAGAAGTTAGACTATCCTAAGAAACTACAGGAAGACCCTGAGATGACCCGAAGTGAGAGAGAGACATAGTCGTCCAACAAGCCTCAGCTGTTTCAGGCCCTAAAGATTTGAGTCATCCTAGCTGAGGTTCCAAATGTTGGGATCAGCTACGTGTTATCTTTACTGAGCTCTGCCCAAATTGTAGATTCATAAGCAAAATCAATGATTGCTGTTATATTAATCCATTAAGGTTTTATTTCTCAGGGGAGAAGTGTTACTCAGCAATGGCTAACCGGAACATCTTCCATTATTATTGATTATATGAGTTTGAAATTATGAAAATTGTTGGAGAGTTTCCTTATCAAATCTTTCCTATGTAGTAATATAGTTGGAGCCATCACAAAGCTGAATTTTGAAGCAGGTAAAACTTGTCTTTTATGCCCTCTATTTTAAATCTCTCTCTCTCTCTCTTTCTCTCTGTATGTATGCATATATATACATACATATATGTACATTCTCCACTTATGGCATTTCCTACCAACTGAGCAGTTTAACAGAGACCCAAAGCTCCCCATGGACTGCTTCTCACTGCTTTTTCCAAATAAACCCTATTAGAAAGTATAATTTTAAATGTATCTAATTTCATCCATTTTTAGTTGTGACTGGTCATTCCTACTTGGTTATTTATTTTAGGATTACTTCTTGCTTCTGCAAATATCATTTTCTGTTCTCACTATCTCTACATCAGTTCTGAAATAGATAATTACTAGATCACATCTGTTTATCCTAAATTCACCCAGGCCATTCTCTACATTGCATCCAGGAGTCTTTCCTGAAATATAACTATTAACACTAATCTGCTTTGTAACCCTCCCCTTCACACATCATGTATAACACATACACACACACGTGCACACACACACACACACTCTTTAGAAAAGAGACTAAATTCTTTAAAATATTTTACATAGTCCTTAAAATTTGTCTTTGATTTTCGCTTCACTCTTATTACTCTCTCACCATTACCCTAAACTCAATGGGAGTTCTAATTCCAAGAAACATTCATAGCTCCTTGATGTGTGCACTCTCATTTCCAGGTCTCTGAAAATGTTTCTTTCACAAGTTTCTCTGCTCTATGGAACTCACTGAATCTCTCTGCCTTTTCTTGTACCCTTCAACCTTCCAATTTTCCCACTGTCCCTCAGTCAAAACAACTATTGTGATAAAGACTTCCTGTACTCATCTCTCTTAAAATTATATAATCTTTCTATTTAATCCCATGGAAGCAATAGATAGCTCTACAATGTCCCTAATATTATTATTTGGTTTTCAGTATATCATAAATATCTAAGTGCCAGTAGAGTGACTTATTCACAATCCTTTGTAATCCTAGTGACCTGGATAGAAGAGGAAACAAGTCTGTTAGATGGATAAATATATAAGTGAATGATTATTTTTGTGTGCCCATGTTGAACTATGTATTTAATATACAAGAAATATAATTTTAATATCAAAACTATTATATTAATATTATTACTATAGCTACTTTTAATCTTAAATTGAAAGATTTCAAAATGCATTTTTGTAGGATTACTTCCTAATTCTTTCTCTTTGGGTAAAAGCACACAAAAATTTTCCAGTTTTACCATGAGCTCACATGTTTTTATAACATTTCTGTAAAATATCACTCTAACTAGACTACTTGTTTATGTAGTAGTATAGTAGTTTCCCTTTAAGGAATGTATAAGAATTATATATTGCTGTTAACAAATTAATAAGATTTTTGTTGTTCCTAACATTTATAGAGCCCTAGATGGCCACTGGGAAATTCCTTCAAATAGTAATCTAAAATATACTTCAGTAAAGTGACTCTTGTCAGTGGCAATAAAGTAGGTCATTGTTTATGATTATTACCAAATTTTTTACATTTCATTGAATTTTTTTTACCATCAGAAGCAACTTATCAAAACACAGCAATACCTGCTGAAATACACTTTTTTAATCTATTAATTCATAAGTTGTATAAAATGGTGCATCTATTTTATAATTTTAGATTAATACAACCATAATCATTTGTTTATTTCTAAAAATAAAAAATGCTTATTATTTTTTAAGAACAACAATATTTATTATTTCTTAAAATAGCATTTATCTTTTAATGTAGTCTGTTAAGCGTGTTTCATGTTTAAAATATTAGATTCCTAAAAGAGATATTGAGCTAAGTGAAACTATTGCTTGGAGGAAAATGGGGAGAGAAAGTGGAAAAGCAAGTAGTGGTACTAACATGAACCAGGAAAAGCTGAATCACGTCTACCTGCAAATGACCTGAGTATCACAAGTGTTCCTCAGTTAGAAAACAGGTTATTGATAGGGTATCCTATCAAGGTGGAAAAGGAGAGCATCTAAACCACAAGTTTCTGACATAGCTGTTGACAAAGGCTTGAGCAATACAGCTTTATTCCAGAACAAGATGGCCTCAGCCTTCATGAATGCCCCCCAAAATGAAAATAAGCATGTAAATCAGCATAGAAGATTAGGTGTCAAAGCCAAGTTTCCCCAAAGTTAATGATTCTGTTTAAATGTGGCTATTGAATGTGTTCTTGACAAATGAAAAAGACTATTCCAAATTTTTTAAAATGGGTATAAATAGATGCTTTTCCTAAGAGCTAATCTGTATCTAGAGAGAAGACAGAATCAGAACGTGGCAGAAACAGAAATCTCTCTAAAGTCCAAATAAGTGAATTTTATTTAAAAAAATTTTTAATTTTTTTTTGCGGGGAGGGACAGAGTTTCCCTCTGTTACCCAGGCTGGAGTGCAATGGCATGGTCTCAGCACACTGCAACCTCTGCCTCCTGGATTCAAGCGATTCTCCTGCCTCAGCCTCCTGAGTAGCTGGGATTATGGGAGCCTGCCATACCACCCAGCTAATTTTTATATTTTTAGTAGAGACTGGGTTTCTCACTGTTGGCCAAGCTGGTTTCAGACTCCCGACCTCAGGTGATCTGCCTGCCTTCACCTCCCAAAGTGCTGGGATTACAGGCATGAGCTACCGTGCCTGGCCCAAATAAATAAATTTTAAATCACTCTTAAGCAACCTACTGGAATGATATTATCAAACATCTATCAGGTACACTTAGGATGAGAGATAGGAAGACAAACATGCTTATAACTCATCAGCTCTCAATATAATTAGATTTTGGTTAACCTGTAATAAGAACATTGTACTGCATTAATTCATCTTTGTTTTCTTTTTTCTTATGTCTTCGGTAGGAATTTATTTTGAAAAAGCTGTACACGACTTGCTTGTGTTAGAGGATCATTGTGGTCAAAGGTTATAGGAGGCAAAGAAATTCCCATCCTAGATGCAGAAGAGCCTGCAAACTGAGCAAGATATATGTAAATGCAAGATATATGTAAATGCAAGATATCAGAAACAGGTCTAGGAGTGGATGGTGACCCCTTTCTACATGTTACTCAGTTACTACAATATATGTTAATCAAGTTGAATAATATATGTCATTCAAACCTACTAAACATCAAGCTACAACGAATGACACTGTGAATATATTTTCATTGCTCCTCTAATTATGTCTTTGATATTGATTTTGACGAATGGAACTAGAGAGGGCATAAAAGTATCTGTATTGCTCTTGAGACATACCCCGTGCCAACCATGGTGTCACTCATGTAATAAACTTTTAACAAATATCTGTTGAATGAGTAACTGAGTGGTACAAATCAGCTGCAATGTTGTGGCAATTACACATCAATCAATAGCATATTCACTTTCATAAATGCTGGTAGCCTAATAATAGGTATTTCAAATTTCACATGTCCAAAACTGATTTCCATTTTTTCCCAACCATAATATTTTCCTCCTGCAGACTTTCCCATTTCAATCATCAACATCTCTATCCTCTCTGTTTCTCAGGTTCTACCTTCAAAATAGATATTTATGGAACCAGTTCCTTCTCACCACCTGCACTGTTGTTACCATTGTGATCCAAGTCTCCATCACCTCTCACTTAGATTATTTCCATAGTTTCTTGGCTGGCCTTTACTTCCATCCTGTGCCATCTACTTTTGGCATAGCCACCCAGTGTGATCCTCAAAAAACCTAATTCAGATCATGGCTTTCCTCTCTTCTAAGCCTCCATTGGCTGCCTTACAATGGCCTTCAATGCCATAGATGATTTACTCTTGAGCTAGATGACTAAGTAACATTATCAAATATCCATCAAGCAAAGTTAAGATGAGAGAAATGAAAAGAGGCAGGATACTCTGTAACTCAACTGCTCTCAATATAATTAGATTTTGATTGAAATACAATGAGAAAATTGTATTCTGTTAACTTGGATATCCTTTTTCTTCTGCTCAGCCTACCTCTTACTACTCCTCCCTTTGCTCATTCTAGAAACACACTGGCTTGTGAACCATTTCTTAACCATGCCAGGTTTGCTTCCAACCCAGGCTTTTGAACTTGCTGTTTTCTTTTGCCTTGAAACATTCTTCCCATAATTATTTCCATGGCTCATTTCCTCGTTTCTTTCAGGACTGGAATCAAATGTCACCTGCTTAGAGAAGACTTATTTGACTTACTACTCAAGTTTTCCCATTTTCTAGCATTCCTTATCTTCTTTTCCTGCTTTGTTTCTATAGCACTTACAACCATCTAGTGGATTTTAATATACATCTCCCCTAGCCCATAACAGAAAGAAAACTACAGGAAGACAGGTATGTTTGTGAATTTTGTTTACTACTATACCTCCAGAACCTAGAACAATGCCTAACACATAAGAGACACTCAATGAGGCTGGGTGCAGTGGCTCACACCTGTAATCCTTGCACTTTGGGAGGCTGAGGTGGGTGGATCACAAGGTCAAGAGATCGAGACCATCCTGGTCAACATGGTGAAACCCCGTCTCTACTGAAAATACAAAAATTAGTTGGGCGTGGTGGCATGCGCCTGTAGTCTCAGCTACTCAGGAGGCTGAGGCAGGAGAATCACTTGAACCTGGGAGTCTGATGTTGCAGTGAGCCGAGTCATGCCACTGTGCTCCAGCCTGGTGACAGAGCGAGACTTCGTCTCCAAAAAACAAAAAAGGATACTCAGTGAGTACTTGTTAGGTGAATGCATGAATGTCAGGAAAGCCTAATCGCCATTACTCATTCTATTGCTATATATAAGGCAATGATAATTTATTTGGCTCATCCAGAAAGCTTTAGCAAGACTGATAACAACCCCCAGGGAAGAACTCATGAACTCCATACTGCCCAACAGAATCTTTTTCTTGGCTTCTCCTTCTTTTTTGTCACTCCTCCACTTTTGCTTTTCTCCACCCTATGCTACCTCCTAATAAAATTCCTTGCTTGAATTCTGTCCAATGCAAGGCTCACAAAAATAAGTTAAACAGATCTTTCCAGACAACTAGTGGTTTCTACTATCCTGGAATTTCACTGCAATACAGTACATTTCTATCACGCTACCTTTTAATGAAATCTTTACCCTGAATACTCAAAAAGTCATCTTCTGTATGAGCATGTCTGCTTTTAGTAGACATAAATGGCTAGCCTCTGTGACTGTTTTCTTTTTAACAATAAAAGAAGAAACAAACACAATGGACAATTATTAAACAATGGACAATTGATTACAATTAAACAATGGACAATTGATTAGAAAAAGCTTGCTTGCTAACTGAGTAATTCTTTGACACACAGTTTTCATCTCATTTTATTATGTTAAAAAATAGAATAACAATAATACAGTAAAACCCTGTTTTGAGGCACGATTATAGTATAATTATGGATTTATTATATGGCCCACCACCTCATATCCCTGATGTATCATATAGCTCAGCATATTACACAATTAGTCAAGAGTAAAAATTATTTTTCCCAATCTAGGCTTAATTATATATTGAGTATGCTGCTGAAAAGCTTCCCCTACTATTATCTCTTCTCAGCATAAGGGGGACAGTGTCTGTACATTGAGAAGTTATTGGTATTGCTATTATTTTTAGCAACCTATCATCATGCACCCTCGGGGGTGAAAACGTAAGTTAACAGAGATGATAAGGGACCCTTACACGTACAGAAGAAGCAGAGTGTCTGGAGCTACATATGCTCAAGAGCTATGAATTACTTCAAGAGAATCCAATATGTACTAAGCAAAATTTGAAATTAAACTGCTCACTGCAGTTTCAACAGTTGTAAAGTAATATCCCCTGTATTTGTCTATTTTCATGCTGCTGATAAAGACACACCCAAGACTAGGCAACTTACAAAAGAAAAAGGTTTAATTGGACTTACAGTTCCACGTGACTGGGGAAGCCTCACAATTATGGTGGAAGGCAAGGAGGATCAAGTCACATCTTACGTGGATGGCAGCAAGCAAAAAAGAGGAGAGCTTGTGCAAGGAAACTCCCATTTTCAAAAACCATCAGATTTTGTGAGACTCATTTACTATCAGGAGAACAGTGCAGAAAAGACCCGCCCCTATAAGTCAATCACCTCCCACCGGGTTCCTTCCAGGACATGTGGGAATTGTGGGGGTTACAAGTCAAGATGAGATTTGGGTGGGAACACAACCAAAGCATATCATCCTCTAAAGAATAATAATGTCAGTAATAATAGCAAAAATATATAGTAATGATAGCAAATAGTAATAGATGACACTAAATGAGAACTACTATGGCCACTGATCTAATTATTTTACTTGCAATAATTCATTACAGAAAAAATTATTTGCAGGATCTGAATTTTAGGGGAATACATGTCATGAAATCTGAGGATTTCTTAAAGATTATCATGCTCCCATTAGGCAAGGGAACACTCGTTCCTGTCTTTGCCTTCACCTAAGAAAATAATGAAGGGTGGTAAATAAGGATAAGAAGGAATTCATTTATTTATTCATTTTCCTGAAATACAAATGAAGGATCGACAATAGAAGTCAGGAAGAAAAAAAAAGAGGGGAAGTGTAGATATTTCAAGGATGTAGATAACTAATGAGCTAATGAGCATTGAATCACTACTATATGTCAGGCACCGTATTAAGCATTCTACAGGTACTTCATTCAATCATTATAATGCCAAGTGAGGTAGGGATCCATTATCCTCTTCATAGTGAAGAGAAAAAGAAGCAGTTAAATATCTTGACTAAGGTCATAGTGAAGAGAAAAAGAAGCAGTTAAATATCTTGACTAAGGTCATAGTGAAGAGAAAAAGAAGCAGTTAAATATCTTGACTAAGCTAATAATAAGTGGTGAAACCAAAACAATAATCTTGTCAATCTGACTTAGCTCTCAGGCATATACTATGAGCATGTTTAACCTTATTTAAAATATTTTTATTTTTTATGTGTTTCCCCATGATATTGAGCAGTAAAACCTTACAATAAAAAGAGACTAGGTAGTTTTCCTTTAGGGCAACTAGGAAGTAGGGAATAGGGAAACAGCATTCCATTCCACAGTCTACTTTGTAGAGAGAGACCAGACAGCAGGCAACAGTAGAAAAGATGAAAATAAAACAGGATGTTTTTAAAGACCTATTATAAGTGGATAAACAAAGAAAAAAGCAAGAAAAAAGGATAAAGTTTTCCTACTTTGGTTTTTTTATTTTATTTCTTTTGTTGAAATTCCAAAACTTATTCTATTTTGAGTATTATTTATTACTTGCCCTTGAAAACATTACATAGATGATCTGTTGGAAGATTAAGACCATGAGTGTACAGTATATCCACATAAGATGAATTAAATCTGTTATTTGTAACCATGAAAGAAACTATATGTTTTTATTTTCTTTTTTTGTCACCAACTCGAAATGCAAATACACACACTCATACACTTAAATTTAGTAAAGAGAAAACAATGATAAGAATGGATTGCAGCTCAAATATCTACACATTTCTCATGACCCTAAATAATTTGTGAGCACAAAATTATACTAGTATTTGGTTACATTTCAGGAAATATTAAAAAAATATTGATTAACAGTGATTTATTAATATTTTAGAATAGAAGACTATTGAATGTGTTGTGGATAATAATAATTTGTGAGCACAAAAGTATACTATTACTTGGTTACACTTCAGGAAATATTAAAAAATATTAACAGTGATTTATTAATATTTTAGAACAGAAGATTATTGAAGATTGTGTTGTAGATTCTATTTATTTTCTATTAAATCCAAATAAGATGTATTTTCCATGAAAACTAGGTCTTACACTGTATTTGAATTTAAATCCTGGGATCATATTAATGCAGAAATTACAAGTGTGTCATTTAGCACATAATTTTCCCAAATGGAGACATTTTGCTGAATAGCAAACTGTCAAATTGAAGGTACAGCATATGATAAAAGCAGTTTGAGTCCAATTTTCCCCAATGAAATCAAACAACAAATTGTGTTGATTTAATTGTGAACTTATACTTATGGATTATAACATGAAGGAATGAATTTTTCACTTTCCTGTTACGCCATTGCCTTTATTTCCCATCCAGAATTATAGAGGAGTTGTAAGGCAATTAAGGGTGTTACACAGGGCTTTTGGGTGCAGCACTGGAATTTTAAAACAGGTTTATTGGCAATTTTTGATAAGTAATATACTGTAATATACCTTTTAAACTCTACATGGACTTTAAAATCTTTTATGGAAAATTCTCAAGTTTCCATAATAAAAAAACGCTGTGCTTTCTTTGGGGAATATTTTTGGGATAAATAACTTAGTTCAATTTTCATGGAAAAAATACCTAAATAGTAGTATTGCTGTTCAAATTTTGTCACATTTCTTTTTGTGGGTCTTTTGAAGTAAATCAACAGGTTTATGTAAACATTATGATTTGGCTTCTCCTAGATGTTAGAAAGAAGCAGTGTGTAAGTAGTGACGTACTTGGGCTTTACGTAAAGAAATTGTGCCATTTTTTCAAGCCAGATATAGCTTCTGTATCAACAAATGGAACACAAATCTTTAGTCTAGGACTTAGAGTGGGGGAAAAAGGGAAAAAACAACTATAACACTTAAATGAAGTCTTTGTATCTTAGGTTTGTTGACCAGAGTATTATATATATCTAATGCTACTAAAATTATGATGTTATCGAATTCTCAAGTTAATTCATAAGTGGTGGTTATCTGTAGTAATCATAGAGAAAGGAACTATTACTATGAGGGACCTGCGGGTACAGGACGCTAGTAGTAAGTTAGAGTAGAGGTAAGTATCTGAGCAGCCCATTCTGCTTTCCTGTGAAAAAGCAGGCATGCAACACATATTTGCTAAGCACACCAAGGTCTAAGAATGATACACATTGAGAAGTTTGAACATTATTACATCTTGATAGCAGTTATGAAAATTGTTAAATGAAGGTTCTTATGGTGCACTTAGAAATCACTCTTTAATCCAAGATGTGATTTTCATTTCCATTAAGCTTCCACCCACACATACTAATGTCTTCTTAACTTTCTGTATAATTCCTTGGCCTTTTCATATAGTATCTTAGGTTATGTTAGTCTTTAATTTATATCCGTTTACTTATAGGACACATTCAGCTACCTGTTAGTCACACCACAAACCTTTGTGCAGACACTTGGAATCTATTCCTAATTGCTTTCACAATTGATTATCGTGGAGTCAGCTACATAAGAAAGAGCCACTCTAATTAGTGCAGCTGATTCCTATGTTGAGCTGCTAACATCGATCTGTTTGAAAGTCTCTTTTTGTGCATTTACACACAAGTTCTTAAGCAATGATGACAGCAGTACCCTAAATATTAAAAAAGAAAGAAAGAAAGAAAAGAAAAAAGAAAGAAAAAAGCATGTAGAAAAGTCGGGTAGAGTTTATTCCATGGCATAGTCATTTTAAAGTAGGTAGTTTTTGAGAAGAAGGTGGTTTTTTTTGTTGTTGTTTGTTTGTTTTTGTTGTTGTTGTTATTGTTGATTTGTTTGCTTGTTTGGAGAAACCAGCAAAGTAGAACTCCAAAGTCCATCTTTTAGCAGTGTACCTCAGGGTTTTCAATTCAGACACAATGTATATGGGTTGACACTTTCCAGATCATTGAATGCAAATCATTAAAAAGAACTATATGTAGCCAGGAAATAAGAAAACATTTTATGGCTCTCTAGAAGACAGACTGGGTGTCTGCTTCTGCATGCCCTTTTCTTTTCTTTCCTTTTTTCTTTTTTTTTCTTAATCTCTAGGATAATGCTGACATCATTGCTTAAAGTTCTGAATGTGACTGAGAATAATCATTTCACACAAAATATCCCCAACGGGTCTGTCATCTGGCAAACAGCTAGGAATATCTTTTGACATCTTGCTTTGCAGAACAACAATAATCTCTCACCATCTGTCAATTCCACATGTCTCATCCCCTGCCCCTGGTGATTCTTGGCAATCAGCAGCCAGTGCCTGTCTAATAGCACTTCCGCCTGCTTCTAGTGTAGTGCTTCAAGCTGTCCTATTTCTCAGAGAGCAGACACATTGCCTAAAATGAAATCTTAGAGGTACTGTCCACACTCTGTCAGTAGACAAAGGAATCAGAACTACTCAGACTGAAAATAAGGTGCAAGGGGGTGTAATATGGATGTAATATGGACTTGCATACATGCTCCTTTGGCATATGTTTCCCTCTATAAAAAAATTAAGTTGTAAAATATGTTAATGACATCATTGAGGTAGATAAAAAGGATCAAAGAAAACCAAGAAGTTTCACATGATACATTTTGAATTTAGCAAAATGTGGTTTTACTAGGAAACATTAATCAAATGTAGATGAAAATCAAATTCATTCCATATTTCTCCCCAGGAAATAATGATTAATAAGTGAATGAGCTTTGAATTCAAACAAACTTTGGTTAATGAGGAAAATACAAGCTTTGACTGTAGGCAATGGTCTTGACATATATTTTTTTCCTCATTTCTGGAATAACTCTTGCCTCATGATTCATTGATGGGATACCTATGAATGAATAGTTGCATAATGGTGAAGAGATTGTGTGTGTATTTTGAAGCCTTTCATTTTCTTCTGTCTTCCCTGATTAGTCATGTCCATTATCCAGCTAGCTCTAAAATTCACATCCTAATTGCTCATTAGTTTAG
Organism: Homo sapiens; assembly: GCF_000001405.40. Lineage (NCBI taxonomy): Eukaryota > Metazoa > Chordata > Mammalia > Primates > Hominidae > Homo > Homo sapiens. Next base: position 15,070,775 of record NC_000018.10, on the reverse strand, counting down.
TTTAGTGAAAAATGATTTAAAAATTATTATTCTACCTTTAAAAAAATCTAATAGCCATTATGGTCAAAGGATAAAACCACTAAACATTATATTTAAGAAACATAAAAATCATATTTAATATAGTGGGAAATATTTCAAACTAGAAATGGCATAGATGAGAGATTTGTTTAAAACTTATATATACTATGAAAGTACAAATGCCAAGCAGCAAAACTTGTTTAAAAGTCAGTATATTAGTATATCAGTATTACAGTTGAATAAAAATTCTTTGGTAATTACTAAGCAAATTTCATCAAATGGGTTTTTAGTAATTTAAAAAAAGGAATGCAATTTGAAAATTCTCACTACATTTTAAATGTAGACATTTATGGGCAAGCATTAATCATAAATATCAACAAGTTACAAAAAAAGCCGCACAATTTTATTGCATGAAAATTTGTTTTATGCACATATTTCTTATGATATATATTCAGAGCACAAATAAGCATAAGTATCTAGATGGCTTATTCATAAGCAAGTGATATGTATGTGTCACAACATAAATTTTATAGTTGGTAATGTTTGCTGAGGTTTCTCAAATGGCATTGAAGTTAGCCAAGGTCAAACTTCAAATCTAAACTTTAATCTTACATCCATTTCAAAGATTCTACATGCACACACACACACACATTCTAGATACCCACACACATACACACATAAACACACACACACACATACACACACACACACGCAGAAATGCACTTACAAGTTCCAGCCTTAGCCACTACTTGGGTCAGCCTGCCTGGGCTGTTTGTGTGTGTGTGTGTGTGTTGTGTGTGTGTGTGTTTGCATGTTTGTTACTTTTTTTTTCCTCATTACTTTTCTATTTCTTACCCACTCAATGAGCTGCAGGAGAGGTGGGCTGGGAGGGAAAGGGGGCACAACCTACCTCACTTGTACATTGACACTGGAGCAGTCAAATGTCACTGCTCTTGGGGGTCAGTTCCTCCAGCTGACTATCTCCTGTTGGTGCCTCCCAGGCTCCTTGACAACCTCTCCTCTGAACATCACCGTCCTGCAGTTTTCTGAGGCATTCCCTCCACAGCAAACATCCTGCTACTCAGCCTGTGCTCCATGTGCATATCAACATGCAGCCCCCGACTCGGACTTGCTTAGTCCTACCTGGTGGCCACCTTTAGTTGGGTTCATAGTGAAGGCTCTGCCTTTTCTTCTATGTACTCCCGAGCCTATATCCTGCCAGAATTGTAAGTTATATTCAGACACCTGAATAGATTGATGCTGGTTTCTATCTCCTGGACCCAGGGACCCACACTCAGTTCTCCAAAGCATCCTCTCACTGTGGTCCCCAAAGCATTCTCTGACATCATCCTTCTACCAGGGGTGGGTTAGGAAGTAGAAAGCATCCAGTTCTTTCCACCTCCTGTTAGGCAGACAACTATCTTCACGGAAAACAGTACTTACAAATTCAGCAAATCTAGCAGACGATATTCTAGTACTTCTGTATAAAATATATGCATAAAATCTAGTTTTTGCCTGAGAGTGAAAATAATGGATAATATCCATTGTAACCACCCATTAGACAGAAAAATAGGTAGATATAGCAATCTACACATATAAATAGATAGATACATAGATATGTAGATATACAGATTATAGGTACATATGCACAGATATATTCCAAATACTTTTGCCAACTGATATGACTTGGATCTGCCCAAATCTCATATCTAATTGTTGGAGGTGGAGCCTGGTTGGAGGTGTTTGGATCATGCGGATGGATTTCTCATAAATGTTTTATCACCATCCCCTTGGTGGTGTCCTTGTGATAGTGAGTGAGTTCTTGTGAGGTCTGGTTGTTTAGAATTATGTGGCACCTCTCCCCCGCCCCCACCCCCACTCTCTTTCTCTCTTGCTCCTGTTCTCACCATGTAATGTGCTTGCTCCCTATTTGCCTTCCATTGTGATTGGAAGCTTCCTGAGGCTTCCCCAGAAACAGAAGTCATTGTGCTTCCTATACAGCCTGCAGAACCATGAACCTATTCAACCTCTTTTCTTTATAAATTACTCAGTCTCAGTTATGTATTTATAGCAATGCAAGAACAGCCTAATACACCAACTAAAGATATGTTTTGTCATTAATGACTTGAACATTCTCAACTATTCATGGCGTTTAACAATGCTTCATTACAAAAAATTGATTTTTTACATTTTATGTGTTTTATTCATGATAAATGAAATGTGCTTTATTCATGATACATTTATATGCTTTATTCATGACAAATGAAAACTTGCTCTTTTCATTTGTTCTTTTTATCATGAATAAAGCACATAAAATGTACCTTTCACATTTACATTACAGGCCCTTTCATTCCTCTCCTGCCCTTAACGTCCCCAACCATATATATCAATAAAGAAAAGAGAAAGAGAAATGAATTAGCAGTGAGCAGTAAGTGGAAAAGATACAAGTTTTTTTCATGGCCAAGTCTAAAGTCTTTTTGAGTTAATTAAACACAAGCTACTACTAAGCCAATAGAGGACATATTAAGTCTTTAAAAATATTAATTGTGATTTTTCTACACTAGATTTCTGTTGCTTGATTTCTCATTCATGACTAAAATTGTTAAACCTGTTAAAATATAGAAACACTTGGGAAAAGAATCTCAAAACAATCACTCCTGAAAAGTTGCCATCTTCCCTGGAAGTTTCCAGTGAGCTGAGTTATTCTCATTGCAGCACGAAGGACACATAGACCCACAGTATCATTCCTTCTGTTTGTCTTTGCATTCTCATTTTCCAGGCTATTGCATATAGCAACTATTCAAACGTTTTTTGGATACCTTCATTAGCTATGGCTTCCAAACTTTTGGTTAAAATAGTAAGCTAAGCTGAGCAAGCAACATTTTGGCCTTTTCATCTTATTGGGCACACTGGTCATTTATTGCCCCTCCCCCACTCTATTCCTCTGGCACCAGCGCCGAGCATTCCCTGGATGGGGATTTGGCTGTCTGGCTAGTGGCCACTTCACTGCATGCCACACATCTGTGCCCTTGGAATCTGAGGCCTTGTCTTCATTTTAGGGCACTAGAAATATTTCTGCCAAAACTCCAAAAGTTGTTTCTTTCTTTTCTTTTCTTCTCTTTTTTTCCTCCTTTTTCTTTTCTCTTTTCCTTTTTTTTAAAAAAATTTCTGAGAACAATATAAGCTACACATACATTTGATGGTCAACAGCTGACACTACTAGGAAACATATGGGTAAGAGTAGATTTCAAAGGCCTTAATGCATCTCCCAGCTCCATCTCTGACTCTATAATGTTGTAGAAGTCACTTAAATCTCTCATCCCCTGTCGACTTAACTACAAAATGAGACCAGTTATAGAATTGTGTGAGAGGAGAAAATAGTTGATATAGATGGAAGAGCTTTGAACATTCTGCACTCTCGCATATGCATTGTATTAGTATTACTATTAGGTCAGATGGACCCTCATCTATGACTGACCAAGATGTTGGGTACACGAGCTAAAGGAATCCAATTCACTATCCCAGGGTTGCATCGCAGTGGATTTCATACAGGCTAAGAAAAAACAAAAATGTTTCTAAGCCTCCATCCTCAGATTAAAACAATAGACAAAAAATTATGATATCCTTAACAATGTCCTGGGTTAATGTTTTATTCCATAAATCAAGATTTCAGAACTCTTTACCCTCTAAGAGATAGAGATTGAACATGCCTTTATAGGCTTTGAATTTCATAACTTCTAATCTACTCCCATAACCTGGAAAATGTCATCATACTGAATGCGCACATGAAAAGGTACTTTTAGGACCTGCCAGTGACAGTTTATACACACATCAGTCCCTTTTCAAATGTCATTTCCATTAGTATCTTACATCAGAATCACAAGTGAAATGAACATGCTGTAACCTAGTATTTTAAAAGGTTATGTTGAAGGAGTAAAGAGGCTTAAATTAATTTTCCCTTTTCTCATCCAGTAGGCCTTTACTCAATAGGATTTCTTATAATTCTATATTAATCCATGTCTCTGTGGATGAACCAAACAGACCACAACATAGAAGAGCCTGCCAAAGTGGCTTCCTGCCAGCAGCCCTCTCTCCTCTTTAAGATAGACTTCAGCTTAATGATTGTACAGTGATCCAAATAAATGTAGAAAGCAAAGAACAGACACGTATCTCATTATCTTCTGCAAAGATCTATTTGTTTAGCCATGTGCAAATATTGCCCTAAAATGGTAAGTCGGTTAGCACATATTAATCATTCACTAGATCTATTCAATTCCTAAAATTAATGTTAATTTAATATGCAGGGGGAGTTGCATGGCTGTTTTTGTTGCTGTAGACTTGATATAGGCAGAGAACAAGCAGAAAATTATTTAGAATATCCAGTGGAATCCACCATTATATTTTTAAGACTATTAATTAGACAAAGATTGTAAAAGTATTTTCTAGTAATACCAGTTAAATAAAGTAGAAAAGTTAAATGAAGGCTAAAAGCCCACACAATGCTATCATGCTCTAAGTATTGTTCTCAATTATTGGAAGTACATATATTATAGAAGCTCAGTATGTATTTCCTAATGAACTGCTTCATGTGAATTATTTCATGACATAATCTTATCCTCTCCTATACTTTGGCAACTGTTGAGAGGCTGGAAAAGACTGTATTATTTATTCTGAGGCCAAAATATAATCATACTTGGGTAAAAGATACTAGATGTTCATCCACTGAACATTTATTACAGCAAATTTTCATAATCCATAACACTTAGGATGTTTACATCAATTTTTATCTTGATTGAATTCAGCATTAATAAATTTGAATTTTTTTCACTAAAATATTATTTGGGCTATGAATATCCTGGCAAAAATCACCCACATAAGACTAGGTTTTTATCAATTTATAAACGAATAGGTTGATTTTGAAAAAGTTATCTTTTTAAGTATCTACAAGGAATTTAGAAAATGCAAAATGTCTTATAAATTTGAAGGTTGATATAGTACATTCACTTTAACTCTTTCTACAGGAAACTTTTTCAGAATATGAATCAATAAAATAAATAAAAAGTTTACTTCTGTATCTTATGTAGAAATTATTACTAAGGTAGGAATGAATCCTCTCTTAATAGTCCAATCACTTTATTCAATCACTTATATATTTACCAAGAAAACTACAAATCTTATACTTTGTATATAGGAAAGACTGTTAAAGTATGAGATATACCCATATTGTAATTTATTTAAGAAAACAAAACTAAATTATGAAAAAATAATCAACTTTGTGATATTGCCCTATGTAAAATTTCTTCTACTTCACAGTCTATATACTACAGCTTCTCTATAAAAAAATTCTCTCAGCTCTTGAAGATCTTACCTACAAATAAAAATATCTCTACATTCATCACTATTTTTTTCCCATTACCTAAAATGAAATTATTCTCTGGAAATTTTGCTCTTAATACGCTTTCCTTACTAATACAAGAAGGAATGTATCTTCTTGTAATTCCAGCCCAGCCTTTTGAGAGGCTGATAAAGGAGGATCGCTTGAGCCCAGGAGTTCAAGACAAGCCTGGGCAACATAGTGAGACTCCATCTCTACACAAATTTAAAAATTTAACCAGGCATGGTGGTGCATTCCTGCTGTCCCAGCTACTCAGGAGGCTGAAGTGGGAGAATTTCCTGGGCCTGGGAGATTGAGGCTGCAGTGAGCCATGATGGTACAACTGCACTCCAGCCTGCACAATAAAGTGAGACCCTGTGTCAAAAGGAAAACAGAAAAAGAATATCCACCAGGCAGGCTGCAACTCTTTATAAGAAATAAGTCTCTCCTTTCCAAATTTATGAACCTCATCATTCTTCAATTGACAGAATCCTCTCAATTTACTTGCTGCACATATTTTAAAAATTCATGGAAATTGACATTTCTTTTTCATTCCTTGGTATCTATCCCCATAACTTAGAAATCAGTCATGTGTGTCTATTATGCAATTTTCTGTATTTCATCATGTTTTATAGGTATTTGTGAATTTATATTGCCTTACTAAAAAATAGTACCTTCTTGAAAGCTGTCTCTTGCTATATATTGGGTTTGTATCTCACATAGTGTCACACATAGAATCCTTCACATAGTGGAAATTTGCCATATGATGGCAAGAGAAACAGGAAGGCATGAAGACCCATTCATTCATAGCACCCATTCAGGATCATCTTTTCATGGAGAATTATCTCTAGGCCATTTAGTGAACAAGACATTTCAGAGCTCAATAAATTTCAAAGGCATATACATTCAACAACTGGATCAGTATTAGCTGAAGACAGTTTTCCAGAGATAGTTTAGAGGTACCAGTGCTCAGAGATTCTAAACCAGTATTTCTGAGGTAGAGTCCCAGTAGACTAAACTTTTAAAGAACTCTACATACTTTTTTTAAAGCCTGTTTCACAGCAAGATTTTAGAACTAATGAATATTTTACATGACACATTTTCTTAAAATCTTGGGGCCTTAATATTAGCATGAAACATGAGTAAACTACGACTTGGAGTAAATAATAAAACTTGCCTAAGTTTATTGAATTATAACTCACATCTGGAGTTTGGGGTCAATACTACCTTTTACTATACTACAATTGCCTTCCATGGAAATACTTTTTTGTTTAATTATGTTTATCACTTTCTCAGGAGATATTATTCTAGATTCAAGCCTAACACTCCCCCTTTCTCCTAAAGTTTTGGTCAAGGTTTTATTTGCTTGTTGGTTTAATTCTCCACTGTGGCTTACTTGAGCACACAGGGAATCTGTCTTCTTTTCTTCCCATCCCTAATCCTAACCTGATCCTAATCTATTACCTGAGAAAAACATTCATATGAGATCCTCTTTCTCCTAAGGAATCATTTTGTATATCCAGCTTTTTCTAACCACTTAGTAGTAATTTAACCAATTCTCCTGGCCAACACTTGAATCAAAGTGATAGGACAAATTAATTCACACTAACCTGCTAATGAATATAAAGAAAATATAGCATCATTCTCCCAAAATATATAAGAATTCAGTGTGCTTATACAAAAATTGAAGAAAGTACAATCATTGAGTGATAATAATTTTGCCTAGAAGAGGCATTTAGAACCATTTATATTTATAATGCAGCTAACATTTTGACTGGTGTATTAATATCATCCAGAGAAACAGAAACATATATATACACACACACATATATATACAGATGTGTATGTGTATGTATATACACGTGTTTATATATACACAGATGTATATATACATATGTGTATGTATATGTATATATATAGGCACATATAGCCTATTGATAATTCTGGAGAGAGAAAGAGAGAGAGAGATTTTAAGGAATTAGGTTACAAAATTGTGGGAGCTAGCAATTCCAAAATCTGAAGGATAGGCTAGCAGGCTGAAGACCCAGGTAAGAGTTGATGCTTCAGTTTGAGTTTGAAGGCAGTTTTCTATTAAGGCCTTCAACTAATTGGATGAGGCCTACCAGCATAATGGAATGTAATCTGCTTTGGAATGTAATTGCTCAAATTCAGCTGTTTTAAATGTTAATCTTACCTAAAAAATACCTTCATAATACATGCAGAATCATGTTTGCCCAAATATCTGGGTACTGATGCCTAGCCAAATGCACACATAAAATTAACCATAATACCTGGTAATACATAAAGAAAATTCATTTTACAAGTCAAAATAATCTGAGATTAAAATTAAGGCAATGTATCCTTATGGAGTGTTATTGTATCTCATCAGTCAGCTTAACATGAAATGACACTACTAGGACAGGACTGATGAGAAAACCGTAGTATAGAGAAATAAGATTTCATAATAACATTTCACAAACAGAAGTTCAGGGGCCTGCAGGATCAGAAACTCAATTATGTAATCATGTTTTTTTGTGTGTGAGATTTGAAAAGCAGCTTTATAATTTATTCCAGGGTAACCATAAATCTGAATTTCATAGGCAAACTTCTAGCAGCAGCAAACACGTGCACTTGAATGTATTCTAGACAAGAGAGCAGAGTAAAATGTAATAAAAATTTCAAAGAAACTGATATCTAGTTCTTTGAAAAATGCCATAATGCTTCTAACCCTCCCTTTTCTCTATATCTTGTGTATATATGCACGATACCTAAAGGAACATTAGTGTGCTTTTTCTTCAATCACCTTACACAATTTTATTCTTGTCTTATTTTTCTTTTTCACACACAAACACACGCATACACAAAGTGTTTTTGAAGCTCAGTATGTATTTCCTAATGAACTGCTTCACGTGAATTATTTCACGCCATAATCTTATCCTTTCCTGCACTTTGGCAACTGTTGAGAGGTTGGAAAAGACTGTATTATTTATTCTGAGGCCAAATATAATCACACTTGGGTAAAAGGTACTAGATGTTCATCCACTGAACATTTATTACAGCAAATTTTTCATAATCCATAACACTTAGGATGAACTTCAAAGCATGTATGGGGGTCTTGATATAGCTTGTTTGCTTAAGTAAAAGCTATGATAAACTTAATTTATCTTGATACTGGAATCTGTGAGAGAGTGAGAGACGTTCCTAGATATTATTTTTGGCTTAATTTTTCAGTTTGTAAAACAATCAGAACCACTCAGCGGCTCTAGGACTGATAGAATAGAGGTATGAAGTCTTCAGGAAATGTACGCCTTCTAACATAGCTGGAGCTGAGGTCCAGGTCCAGCACTATTACAGATGGAGGACGTGTGTCTAGTCTCAAGTAGGGGGATTGGCCAAGGAAAACTGCGTCAGACAACCAAGTCAGGATTTCAGGCACAATAGTGTTATGGGATCCTTGGGGGTGTAGATTTTCTGGCCTAAAACCTCTGTCCAGTGGTGCCTTTTCCTGAGTTTTGCTCGGCCTGCTGGGCTAGTTCCACCCACTCAGCCTGGCAGGCTATGCTTGGCTCAAGCTACTAGCCTGTATCCCATGCCTCCCAAGGGTGAGTTAGGCATGGAGTGGCGAGGGGTGTGTCAGCAAGCGTGAGGTCCAGCTTCTACGCAGTCAGACCCTTCAGCTACTGCAATGCAGGCAGCACCAGGTGCTGGCATGGGTGCCAGCTCTCTGCAAGGCTGCAGCTGGACAGGCACCCCACAAGCAGCTGGCACTGGAGAATGTGGTGGCACCCAGAAGCTCTGAGATGCCAGGAACCGCAGGGCCTTAAAGAGGGACTAACAGCCCTGGTTAGGAGAGCTCCCAGGTCTGGGCTCCTACAAGGGCTGTAGCTCTTCTCTCCCTCTGTTCGCCCACAACGAGGTGAGCAAAGGGCATGTTTCAGTCCTGTTTGTGGGTTTGTGGTACAGCTCTTCTAGACTTGCCATTTGACAGGCCCCAAGTTCTCGTCCTGCAACCAGAAAGATGAGGCACAGAGACAAGCGGAGGATGAGCAAGAGGAAGAAGAGCTTTATTGAGCAGTAGAATAGCTCAGAGACCTGCTGTAGATAGCTCTTTTCTGTAGCCAGGGTGTCTGGACGAGTGTTCAGCTCTCAGCAGAGCGTAGAAAGCCCTGGGTTAGGTTGCTCCTCTCTACAGACAGGTCTCCCTGGAGTGGAAGCTCCTCTCTGCCGCTGGTTGTCCCTACATTCTCCAGCTATCAGCAAAGTAGCTCCTAGCTCCTCTCTGCAGCTGGTTATCTGCTTCTCTGCTCTGCTGTGGCTGAGCCCAGGGCTTCTGTGGGCCTCAGAGCGGGGAAGGGCATGCTGATTGTTACATGGGCAGCCATGGCAGGCCCACGTAAAAGCACCACAAGATCCCCCTCAGACTGGCAGCCTGCCCCAGGCTTCAGACCTTCCCCGGCCTAAAGGCGGGGCTTCACGGGGACCTGCCCCCTTCTGCCCATGAACCTGCCATCCTTCTACTGCTGTTCAAGGCAACCAGGCTGCCTGACTTTGCTCCTATCTCCTGGCACAAAAAAAGAGAGAAACCAGACATCAAGAACAGGCACCTCCGAGCCTGCAAGGACAGGGGCCTTCCTGAGCGAGAGTGCAGGGAGGTTTTCCCAGGCCTCCAAGAGTGTAAGGATGCCTGAGTCTGCAGCCGCTGTTTGGGCAGCTGCAGCTGCACCCGGGAGTGGGGCAGGACTCCTGCCTGCTCCACGGAGCGAGGCTGGGTATGCAGCCCTGGTTTGGGCAGCTGCAGCAGCACCCGGGGAGCTACCACCCCAACTCAGAAGGGGTGGGGCTCCAGCTTGTCCACGGTCCCCTGGCTCCACACAGTAGGCAGCCCCAACCACGCCTCCCTGCTCCAGCCGGGTGATGGCAGTGGCAGGTTGTCTGGAGGGCTGCTACCATCACGGGAACCAAATGAAAGTAAAAGTAAGCCACAGTGCTTAGAACGGTTTCAGACAGGACAGAAGCCAAATTACAAAAAGATGGAGGCATAAGGTCAAAGATAGACTGTCATGTCTTGATTTAACTAGTTATTGTATGAATTGAAAAAATGTATGCCCTAGAAGATAGCAGCTGAGCCTGAAGATCTGAGTAAAATAAATCAGTAAGTAGGAGAGAAGAAACAAGACAGTAGGAAACAAGGGGCCAAGACATAAGTTAGGTGTGGAGTACCCAGTATCTCCGTCAAGTGGGTCAGCAACTGTGCAGGTCACTGTAGAAAATGTTGACTTCAGCTTCCTCTTTAAAATCCTTCTGGAATCTGTATTTAAAAATGAAACAACACTATCCTAAACATTTTATGTGGATAGAAATTTGTTTTCTTTCCCAGATATGTTTGATTTGTGTCTTAAGTTTTAATCCTTTAGATATTTTGGTACCATAAACAGGAGTGCAGTTAGTACAGTGTATTTTGTAGACAATAGAAAACAGCAAGTATATTTTTCAACCCTAAGAAACTGTACTATAAAGTTTGGTGGGACTTCTGTATCCACCACATTTAAATATACTTAATAAAGATATAATGTGACACTACAAATGCTACATAACATATATAGTTCTTTTTTTTTTTTTTTTTTTGAGTTGGAGTCTCGCTCTTTTGCCCAGCCTGGAGTGCAGTGGCACGATCTCGGCTCACTGCAAGCTCCGCCTCCCAGGTTCACGCCATTCTCCTGCCTCAGCCTCCCACGTAGCTGGGACTACAAGTGCCCACCACACCCGGCTAATTTCTTTTGTATTTTTTAGTAGAGATGGGGTTTCACTGTGTTAGCCAGGATGGTCTCGATCTCCTGACCTCGTGAGCTGCCTGCCTTGGCCTCCCAAAGGGCTGGGATTACAGGCATGAGCCACCACACCTGGCCACATATATAGTTCTAAACACACACACAGAGACACACACAGACACACACACACAGAGAGAGAGAGACACACAGACACACACACACAGACACACACACACACACACAGATGCAGTCATAGTGCACTACAGCTTCAGACTCCTGGACTCAAGTTAACACACTGTTTTCTCATGGTGCCTTCTTTTCACTGCCCATCCCCCTTTGCAAAATGTTCAGCAATATACTCTCAGTGACATATTTTTTCTATAATTTCAATTCCATTCAAGATTAAATATATCGGCCAGGCACAGTGGCTCATGCCTGTAATCCCTGCACTTTGGGAGGCCAAGGTGGATGGATCACCTGAGGTCAGGAGTTTGAGACCGGCCTGGCCAACATGATGAAATCCAGTCTCTACTAAAAATACAAAAAATTAGCTGGGCATGGTGGCAGGCGCCTGTAATCCCAGCTACTGGGGAGGGTGAGGCAGCAGAATGACTTGAACCCAGTAGGCAGAGGTTGCAGTGAGCCGAGATTGCACCACTGCACCCCAGCCTGGCCAACAAGAGCAAAACTCCATCCCTGCCTCCCCCCAAAAAAGATTAAATATATTGCTATTCATAAAATTACCTCAAATATCAAAACCTGTAATACAGTAGGCTTTGGGCATTCAGAAGGAATCCTGAGACCTCTATAAAATCTTAAATTCACAAAGCATGTAATTTTCTCCCTAAAATATGGACAAGACATAACAAAGTGCCACAAAATCAGGTCAAGATGTAGAAGCTTGGCAGATTGTGTGCACAGGCCTTGAGTTAATTCCCAGAAGCTCTTACAAGAGTATCACAATTTCTCAAATTAGTGTCTTAGTAAAATTAAAATGAAATTCTAGGGTCTTTAATCACTAATTATGAAGAATGTTATATGTCTGACCTATAGACGTTTTAGGAATTTGAATTTTATACAACTTTTTGCTAATAGATCCCTCCATTCTTTTCGAGTAAAGCCCACTATCTTCATCCGAAAAAAAAAAGATTTTCTCAGGAAACCCTTGTGTATTGTTGGTAGGAACGTAAATTGGTACAGCCATAATGGAAAGAAGTATGGAGGTTTCTCGAAAAATTAAAAATAGAGGGCTGGGCGCAGTGGCTCATGCCTGTAATCCCCAAACTCTGGGTGGCCAAGGTGGGGGAATCACTTGAGCCCAGGAGTTCAAGACCCACCTGGCCAACATGGTGAAACCCCATCTCTATTAAAAATACAAAAATTGGCTGGGCATGGTGGTGTTTGTCTGTAATCCCAGCTACTTGGGAGGCTGAGGCATGAAAATCACTTGAACCCGGGAGACGGGGGTTGTAGTGAGCCAAGATCACGCCAGGGTACTCCAGCCAGGGTGAGGGCAAGACTCCATCTCAAAATAAGAAATTAATTTTTTTAATTAAAAATAGAACTACTATATGACCCCACAATCGTTCTTCTGGGCATATACCAAAAGGAAATGAAATCAGTACTTCATAAAGATATCTGCACTCCTATGTTCATTGCAGCATTATTCCTGATAGCCAAGATATAGAAACAACGTATCTGTATATGAATGGCCAGAGAAAGATATCATGATACATATACATATGCACATCATATAATGGAATATTATTCATCCTTTAAACAAAAGAAGGTGATCCTACCATTTGAGACGACATAGATAACCTGGAGAACATTATGCTATGTGAAATAAACCAGGCACATACAAAAAATACTGCGTGATCTCTCTCGTGTGGAATCTAAAAATATGTTCAATAAACAGATACAGAGAGTAGGAACAGCAGTTACCAGAGACAAAGTGGGTTGGAGATAAGAAGATATAGGACAAAGGGTATAAAATTGCAATTACTTAGGATAACTGTATTTAGGATCTAATATAGAGCATGAGGACTCTACCTGGTAATAGTGTATGCCACAAAAAAGTTAACAATATGAGATGAACGATATGTTAATTGTCTTGACAGTAGTGTTTTAACTATGCATATGTATATCAAAACACTATGTTACACACTTTAATGTATAAAATTTGCAGGACAAAAAAGTCCTGCAAATGTTCCTCATGCTCTTTCTACTTCTAGTTCACAGGTTCCAGGATAACCAGATGACTGAGGAATGTTGAAGATTGCAGTGATGGAAGTGCCTCAGTCAGCCTGGAAGACTGTATGGATGGAGGTTGCCTGGCCACACTGTCATGTCCCTCTCTCCCTGAAAAAGAGACACATTTGCCTTTGGGCAAGGCAATACATACATTTGGTCTATGTATACACTTTGGTCTATGCATTCTGTTATTTAACATTCTAATAATGTTGATGACCTTAAAATATGCTTGACAATGATCCGTGTAAATCATTATTATTCTGCCTTCTGCAAGATAAGAATTATGGGCCAGGTATGGCACTTAACGCCTATAATACAAACATTTTGGAAGGCCAAGGCAGGAGGATTGCTTGAGCTCAGGAGTTAGAGACCAGCTTGGGCAACATAGTGAGACCTCATCTCTACTAAAAATAAAACAAAAAAAGTTATGAGAGTGACACTGCACTCCAGCTTGGGTGACAGAGCGAGATCCTGTATCCAAATAAATAAATATCTAATATAGGAATTATCAAATTCAACACATATTAATTATTTTCATATCCATTTATGGAAAATAATAATGTGGGGATGATTCTTAAAAGGGATTCTGGAAGTGGTTTCTTCAATTAAATATATTCAAAACTCATTCCCGCTTACTACACAAATCAAAGAGGAATTGAAAATGTGTGTGATTCCCACTAAATTATTTTCCTTTCATATGGCTTGATGTTACTGTCTTTGTGGAGTGGCTGAGAAATGTCTCCTTCTTGCCTTTATCTTCAAAGGCTCTGCCAATGTGAAGTACAGGAGAGAGAGGCAAGAGCAGGGCCCACTAGTGGAATCATCTCAGCCTTATTCCCCAGGGGAAAACACATTCTTTTTCACTTTCCTGAGCTGCCTTATCTGATAAAAATGATTCTTACATCTCCCAGCAATGCCTTCTGATTGTAATGTAGTTTATGCCACTGGTTTGCCTATTTCTCAAATATAAACCTACACGCATGTACACACATTTGGCCTTAGCCTTTCTAATTCCACTCTCATCAGGACAGATTGCACACCTGTAAACATTCTTAGATCAACTCCAGTAATCAATCCACATTCATGTAACCCCTGCAGAATAAAGATCATTGGAGACCTTCAAGATTGACTTCCCATTTAAACCGTAAGAAAACAAGACCCCAATGTGTCAGCTGCAGAACCACAATAAGGACCTAAGTCCCATGTCTTATTGTTCAGTGGTTTTTCTAAGTCACTGTAAAATTTTTCTACATTCCTGGCCTGAGAACAGAAGTACCTTTTGCTTATCTATTCAATTAAATTCAGTAGTTGGTAAATGTGAATAAAGGAAATCAAAACACTATTGAAGATTATTTAGATATGGCTGAGAAGTGGGGTGAACAAACCTGACCCACTTTAACTTAGAGATTCAAAATATAAACTTAACTCAGTTGCAGTCAACAACCTGACATTAAATGCAAACATACAAGTAAAGAACCCAAGTAAACAGAAAAAACTAACCTGCTACCTACCTTTAAACACTAAATATAGAGCTCCTGTCGTCCTGTTTCTTACTGATTTATAACTTCAAATAATGGGTCAAGAAAAAAGCTACATATATGAAAAGATGAGATCTGCGTTTCAATCCAAATCTTTCTTTCAATAACCCTACTACTTGAAACCATAGAAGGAGACAGGAACTTCCTCCCTTGTTTCTTTTTTCTTTTTCAAAACTACCCACTAATCTTTTAATTAAAAGTGAATGATGGAGAGATGGCAAGTGAGCAGGAGAAGCTGAGGAACACAGCTCCCTTATGTATTTGCACAACGCTAATCACTCTTCACATCTTACAGAGAGATCTGTACTAGTTACATGGAATCTAATCTGTTCTACTAAAGCTGATGCTGTCAGCTGCCATGCTTAGCTCTCATTCATTATGCTTGTAGACACATTTTGAGAAAATACATTATCTAGAAGAGAAACTTCTAAGAAGGTTTTATATACTATATGATGCTAATATTTTAGATAATGTTTTATGCTAGTTTAATCTTTGTGTATTGAAAGAACTCTGATTTTCCTGGAAGTCCCTAGACAGTACATTTAATTAATCTTACCTCTCAGTTCAACAAGTTGCCTTTTACTTTAGTCATATAATCAATCTCTTGGTAATAATATATAGTGATATCCAGGCATGTATGATGCAAGCAAGTTTTTAGTTTAAAGCTAAGGAATTAAAATGAAAACAATACATAGTGCTCTCTGTACAACAATGACTGAGAATAGGTAGTCGTGCTCTTTATATACAAGGCACTGTGCTGAGCATATTTTGTAAGTTATTGCCATGATTCCATGTAATTATGTATTATAATTTTACCTTTGAAGAAGATAAGCCTCAAAAATGGCAAGCAGTTCACCCACCCACATTTAAATGTCTGTTACACCTCTGAGATATACAACCCATGAATTCTACCATTATTCACTCTGTCTGTCAACTCCATTCTGTCTTCATGTACCTCCCAGCCCAATTGATGTGTCAAGGCATTGGATTTAATTCATTCACTCCAGAAATATTTATCACATGCTTATAGGTGCTTGGCTCTCTTCTAGGTGCCCAAGTCACATCAGTGAAAAAAAAAAATAAACAAGATCCTCATCCTCATCAAGCTTATATTTATTTCCCAACATCTGATTTCAATTTCCTTGCCATGCACTCCTTTCATCATAGAAGCCTTACAAAATCCCCAATCCAATTGAATCTAATTCTGTGCTTCATGTTTCTCACCCTCGCTTGGTAAAACCCACAACTGTGCTTGCCGGATTTTACCATAAATTACTAACCATGAACTTCAAGTGGTCTATTAGTGATCAGTACCAACGCTTTAATAGTTGTCTGCTCCTTTGACTCTTTCACATTCCTAAAAGATTTTCCATTTTTCTCTGTCTCCTTCCAGCAACTCCTGGCCAATTCTTATCTCACCTAATGACTTTGATTCTTATTATACAAAGACAATAGTAAAAATCAGAAGAGTACTTATACAAACTACCACCATGAAAATCATCACTCTACCTGTATCTCTCCCGACTCTTGATCATCCTTCCTACCACTGTGGAGAAATTTTTCTGTGCATTTTTGTTCTCAGTACTGCTGAAGATTTTTTCCATGCTTCTGTCCAAGGAGGGCATCTCTTCACTAGATCCCAGTTGTATCATTCTAGCATTGGCGCTTATTTTCTCGCATATCACTGGCTTTCCAATTTTTCCCTTTTAAAAGGATAATTCTTATAAATTTACAGCTATAATAGATAACAGAAAAAAGCCTCTCTTGATCCAAGGTCTCCTTCCGTTTCCCACCCCATTTATCTCTTTTTCTTTACATTAAAGTTTTTCCAACTGTTTCCAGTTTCTCCCACAGAATTCTCTCCTTAATCTAGCCCTGGAAGACTCTCAGGCCTATGACTTCAAAATGAGATCCTCCACCCAGACCATTATTGATCTCAAAGTTGCTAAGTTCAGGTAAATTCCTGGTACTTGTCTTACTTGACCTCTGTGGTGCTTAAATTAGCTGATCCCTTTCCTTCTTGAAACACATTGTCCAGTTTATTTCCAGGATGCCATTTTCTTGATTCTTCTCATGAGATTCTGCTCAGATTTCTTTGTTTGATCTTTCTCAACTCTCCAGCCTTTGAAATTTGGGATGCACTAAAACTCAGTCCATTGATATTTCCTTTTAAAAATGCCCATTGCCCTACTGAACACATCTAGTCTCGTATCATCTACACATGGATGATTTCCCAATTTATATTTCCACATTTAAATGCCTACTCTAAATATTTGCATGGCTATCTAAAAAGCATCTCAAATGTAACATGCCCATATTTGATCTCCCTCATACTTCCCTCTTCCAATAAAATTTTCAAGTCTTCTTCTCAGTAATGGTAAATACTCTCTACGGCCATATCATCCTGAACATGCACAATCTCATTAACAATGGCAAATACTTTCTTCCAGATGCTGATGTGGAAAACCTAATGTTCATCCTTGATTAATATTTTTCTCTTACATCACATATCTCACCCACCCCTGTACCACCTGTTTCAAGCCATCATCACTTTACACCTGCATTATTGCAATATCCTCCTAAGAAGCTGCTCTTTTTTTTCACCACCTCCAACATCAGCTCGTAACACAGCAGCCAAAATGACCATTTTAAAATAAAAGTTAGATCCTCTCTCTCTCTCAGTATAAACGCTCTTTCTCAGAGTAAAAGCCAGGTCTAACAATGGCACCTCATAATTGTCCATCTTATCTCCTGACCTCATTTCTTACCTCTCTCCTTCTCTAGCTCTTTTCCTTATACCCTGGAATCCTTGAACTTGATCCAGACTCAGGACCTCTTCCTGGAACATTCTACTCTCTGATAGCTCTAGAACTAGAATATAAGGTAAATAACACTTGCTGATTTGAAAAATATACTACAAACCTAAGTGGTTTAATACAATATCTTTTTTTTTTTTTTTTTGGCTAATATTACAGTCCAGTGAGAATATGACAGCACCTCTGGTTAGCTCTCTTCTAAGCAGAGATTAAGTCCTTGATTTTGGTCCTAAAGAGAGAAAGAAAAAGCAAGGAGAAGAGTACAGTGAGTTTTAAGAGTCTGACCTGTAAATGGCCTACATTTTTCCTTCCCACATTTCAACAACTACTGCTCAGTCTCATGACTAATCTATCTGCAAAGAGATAAATTCAGAAGCACAAAGCTAGCCTAAATATTAGAATGCCCCCCCCCCCCAGATCTCTGCCACATTAGTCCCCTGCTTTCCTCAGGAAGACAAGGGAAACTTTTTCTGGCTACCCTGCTTACAAGAGCAACACTTCCTAAATTAAATGTTGCTCAGTGATCTCCAATCCTGCTTGTTTGTTTGCTGGTTTGAGACAGAGTCATGCTCTGTCACCCAGGCTGGAGTGCAGTGGTGTGATCTTGGCTCACTCTAAGCTCCACCTCATGGGTTCAAGTGATTATCCTGCCTCAGCCTCCCAAGTAGCTGGGATTACAGGTGCCCAGCACTACGCCTGGCTAATTTTTGTATTTTTAGTTGAGACGGGGTTTCACCATGTTGGCCAGGCTAGTCTCAAACTCCTGACCTCAAGTGATCCATCTGCCTCGGCCTCCCAAAGTGCTGGGATTACAGGTGTGACCCACTGGGCCCGGCCCAATCCTGTTTTTTTAATGTCCCTGGACACCCAGCTCAACTGCATGTTTTGCTTTTCTTAAAGTTAGGTGAAGTCAGGCAATGGAGCTTTTAGACAAGAAAATGCATATAAACTGAGTGGAATTGATCAAACCTTGTAATCCTGCTTCCTTAAAATGCCTGTGTGCTGTTCTCTACTCCCTTTCTTCAACCACCAACTGAACACAGGGTTCTAGAGTTCTCAGGAGGGCAGATACAAGAGAGCAGGAGGATGGGTTCCTGAATGACCACATGGAAGGCTTCCCACTAATAAGAAATCTTAGTATTGGACTTCACATAAACACTGAGAAAATGGCTCTTTGGGAAGCCACTAAAATTTTTTTATTTATCTGTTATAGCAGTTAGTTATAGCCTTCCCAATTCAATGTCCTATGTCTCTGAATGTGCTTTATTTAAAACCACATCACTTATCACCATCTGACATATTCTGTATTTGCCTGTCACTTTTTCTCCTGTGTCTTCTGTCCAGAGAAAGTGTTGGCCAACTATAACCCAAGAGCCAAATCTAGCTTGCTTCCTGTTTTCATATGTAATTATTTATTGGAATATAGCCACAGCTATTCATTTCTGTATTTAGAGAGGAGCTGTGTCTATGCTACAACAGGAGAGTTCAGTAGTTGCAACAGAGAAACTGTATGATCTACAAACAATATTTACTATCTGGCCCTTTACAGAAACAGTTTGCCAATGTTTGTACTAGAATGTAAACTCCAAGAATGTAAAACCTTTGTCTCTTTAGTTTGCTGTTATATACCCAGCATTAGAACAGTCTCTGGTCCATTGCAGGTATTCATATAATATTTGTTAAATGCATAATTGAATAAGTGAATGAGTGTGCAGCAAGCCAAAAATGTTCCAGAAAAAAAATTCATATCTAAATTTCTTGAACCTCTGAATATTGCCTTACATGAAAAATCAGACAAACAAAAATCAATCATTGCATGTGATTAAGTTAAAGATCTTGACCTAAAAGATTATCCAGTATTAGCCAGATGGACTCTAAATACAATCACATGTATCTGTATAAGAGGGAAGCAGAAAGAAATTTGACCACACAGACAGAAAAGGAGAGGGGATGTGATCACACAGGCAGAGGTTAGACTGATGTACCACAAGCCAATGAATGTTGGTGGCCACTAGAAATATTATCTAAAGGATTAGGAATTATCTGTTTAGAACTTTCCTGATGGCCACACCCTCCAAACCCCCGATACTGATTTCAGATTTATGACATCCAGAACTGTAAAAGAATAAATTTCTATTGTTTAAGCCACCAAGTTTCCAGTAATTTGTTACAGAGGCAGCAGGAAACCAATACAGAGGGGAAAATGACTTAAAACTACTTCTAATTCCAAGATAATGTTCAAAATGTTCATGCAAAAACTACTTCTTGTGTCAACATTCAGTCTATATAAGTGCTCTTGAAATTAATTATCACTATAATTCAGTCTCATGAGGAAAAATATTTTGGCTTTTTTTGTGAACCAAAAATTTATAGCAATTCATAAGTTACAGTTTATGGATGAAATTAAACATATTTGAGATTATTTTTATATTAGCACTTTATAAATCAGTTGCTGAAATAGTCTGTTTTGAAATATTAGATATAACTGCCAGGAATAATTCTGATATTTTCTTTAACACATTTTAGTCATTTCTTGAATTGCAATGTTTTATTATCATAAATTGCCAAACTAATAAAATTAATTGCTATTGAAAAATAAGAATTGTGAATGTCTTCAGGGTGAGGGCTGAGCATGTAAAAAGTTTTTTTTTTTCCTTAAAAAAATGGGACTCAGGGGAGGAAGTTCCCTTCTTCTCCTTCAGAGAATGTGGTCATGATCATTTCTCCCTGCAAAGACCTGGAAAGGCTGCAGCCGTTTTGGAAATACGGACTTACACTTGGCTGATAGGCTGAGTCTGGGAGAGTGCAAAGATGAAAAAACACCTAGCACATGGATCGTGTCACTGAGCTACTGAATCAATCACGGAACCATGCTCCATCTGTACTTTGTGTTCTCTCATAGAATAAATGTTCACTTTGGGTTGTGTATCCATTACTTGAAGCTAAAAATCTCCCCATGTAGGCAATGATCACTACAATGGGTTACTTACGTTTCTGAGTAACGTACTCATTTAATGAAAAAAAGATAGAGCAAAGTCCTCAATCATATTTATCAATTAACAAGGGTCTGACTAAAACTACTTGAGGTTCCAGGGAGATAACGTGGGAACCAAGATATTTAATTGTCCATCTGCCATTTGAGGATTTTTTTTTCCCCACAAAAGGAATCAATTTGTGTAGCCATGATGGTGACTTCAGCTGATGCCTCTGTTGAGCACTGGCTGTACTGTTTAAATGATATACTAAAATGGACAAATGGGCAGAAGCTTCTTCACAAAGAGCAAATCTATCTCTGGTTTGCGTGGTAACTTTCATGCCTGTAGTAGAATAAACTTCAATATATCCTATTTATAAAATTGCTCTGAAAATGGAAGACATCTTAAAATGTTGGCATGCACTCAATAAGGTGGTATTCTCTCCAAATTTAATATAAAATTAATGTTTTAAAATTGACAACATCTTTGAATCTACAAAATACATGTGCCCCACTCCAGACCTACTGCCACATTGACTCTATACCTACTAATCTAACAAATAGTGAGCTTGTTTGGATTTTGCCAAAAGCAAATATTTAAACATGAGAACAGTTAATATTCCCAATTGCTGCTTCATATAAAACTAAGCTAGCATTTATTTTATCTCCCTGTCTTGTTCCTTGTGCACTGTTCTGGCTCTGTAAGAACACTAGACTTTGCATGAGAAAACTAAGGATTCAACTGAAGATGATTTATTAAGTTGGTGATTTATTTAAGTACATTTATTGTCATTGTTTTGCAACACATAATACAATTTCCAAAATAACTAGGAATTGTTTTCTTCTATTTTATATTGTTTTTTGAATTTCCTCTATGAAGGAATCATTTAACCTTTCAGTTTAGGCACTATATTTTTTACCTCATTATGCAACAGAAATGTTTTGAAAGTTGTAGTCTGAAACCCAGAATTCAGTCTTAGCTCCACAACTTAGTGGTTACTTAGCTCTTCCAATCTCTGCATTTGCATAAGTTTGGGGATAACCGTAATTAAGATACCTTACCTTAAGTGGTAAGATTTGGGGATTAAATGACAAAATCAGAAAAGTCTTTGTTTGTGTTTAAGTTCTGTATACAGATGTTCCTAGGTTTTGTTACAATTGTAATAAAAATAACAAATAAAATCAATGTGGTGATAATAATGTCTTATGTATAGCAAGAAACTGAGTAATTAAATTTTGTCTTCTAATATCCAAACAATGACCAAATTGGGTGTGCCCCAAATTTTTTATTGAGACTGAATAGACAATGTAATAATACTAAGAGATGGGGTATTTAGAAGGTGATGAAGGGATTCGGGCCCTTATAAATGGGTTTGAGGGTGTGGGTTTGTTCCCTTCTGTACCTGCTACATGTGAGGACATGGTGTCCCCTCCCTTCTGAGGAAGCAGCAACAAGGCTCCATTCAGTTCTTTTACAATGGTTTCTTCTTTTATCTCTTACATAGTTTCATTCTAAGACAGAATAAGGAATGACATATTCTGTGAGTTTTTGCATGATTAGGTATGCCAGTACTGCCATTTTGTACTTGGATAACAACTTGCCTGGTTATAATATTCTTGAGACACACTTGTTCCCTTAGAATTTTGTAAATATTGTTCTATTATCTTCTGGCACTTTATTTTTCCATGGAGGCATTTGAGCCCAGCCAGATTTATCCCCTTTGTAAGTTCTTGGATACCTGATGAATTCTGTCTTTATCCTTGAAATTCAATCACTTTACCAGAGTGTCATAAAATTGGTTCTTCTAATGAATTTCTTGAGAACAGTATGCCTCTTTAAGTCTATGAGTATTATTTTACATTTTAGAAATATTTTCTTCTATTACATAATTATTCTTTTTAATTTCACTTGTTGGGCTTTTTTGCTGGTGAATCATTTACCTTCATTTTGGATCCACATTTCCTGTATACCATTAACATTAACTTCTTTCTGATTACTTTTTTTTACCCCTTTATTTCACTGAGACTACTTCATGGCTTTTTCTGTTACTAATTTTATCATCCACACTGTCTAATCTGTTTTCTGTGGTTTCCATTTAATTATCTCCATAATGTTGTCATTTTGGTTCTCTGCTCAATTAACTTTACAATTGTCTGTTGAGTTTATTCACATTGCTTATATTTGATGTCTTTTTAAATTAAAGATTACATTCCCTTTCATTTTTCTTTTGTGAAAACGTTCTTCTGTTTTTTCTCAGTTTTGTAAGAATAACTTAGGCTTTTTTTGTGCTTTACATCTGTCTTTATTTTTAATGTAGTATTTTGCATGCTTGCATGACTTGCATGCTAGCATGACAACCAAAGAAAAAATTACCAATATTAGAAATGAAAGTTGGAACATCACTAACAAGTCTATAGACATTAAAAGCACATTAAAGGGATAATATTAATAACTATGATAAAAATATTATAACTTAGATAAAATAAAACAATTTCTCAAAATACAAAAGCTTCTGAAATGCAAACAAGAGTCATTAGACCATCTAAATAGGTCTATATCTATTAAATACATTGAATCAATTTATTAGTCACAATACACTAGAGAAACAGAATCAAAACAAAAATCAAAAGAATAATCCACCTATCTATCTGATGGTTTGGCTCTGTGTCCCTACCCAAATCTCACCTTGAATTGTAATAATCTCCCTGTGTCAAGGGTGGGACCAGGTAGAGGTATTTGGATCATGGGGGCTATTTCCCCCATGCTGTTCTCATGAAAATCAGTGAGTCTCGCAAGGTCTATAAAGGTTTATAAACACCTGGTATTTCCCTTGCTTGAACTCATTTTTCTCTCCCACCACCCTGCGAAGAGGTGTCTTCCTCCATGATTGTAAGTTTCCTGAGACCTCCAAGCCATGCAGAACTGTGAGTCAATTAAACCTCTTTTCTTTATAAGTCATCCAGCCTCAGGTATTTCTTCACAGGAGCATGAGAACAAACTAATGTAGTAAGTTGGTATCAGGAGAGGGGTGCTTCTGTAAAGATAACCAAAAATGTGGAAGCAACTTTGGAACTAGGTAACAGGCAGAGGTTGGAACAGTTTAGAGGGCTCAGAAAAACACAGGAAACTATGGTAAAGTTTGAGACTTCTTAGGAACTTGAAGGGTTCATAAGACAGAAAGATGTGGGAAAGTTTCAAACTTCCTATAGACTTGGTGAATGGCTTTTATCAAAATGCTGTTAGTGATTTGGACAATGAAGTCCAGGCTGAGGTGGTCTCAGATGGAGATGAGGAACTTCTTGGGAACTGTAGTAAAGGTCACTCTTGCTATGCTTAACAAAGAGATTGGTGGAATTTTGCCCCTGCCCTAGAGATCTGTGGAGCTTTGAATTTGAGAAAGATGATTTAGGGTATCTGGCAGAAGAAAGTTCCTAGGGGCTAAACATTCAAGAAGAAGCAGAGAACAAAAGCTTGGAAAGTTTGCAGCCTGGTAATGTGATAGGAAAAAAGATATATATTTTTTCTGGGGATAAATTCAAGCCTGTTGCAGAAATTTACATAAGTAACAAGGAGCTAAATGTTAATCACCAAGACAATGTGGAAAATGTCTCCAGGTCATGTCAGAGACCTTCATGGTAGCCCCCACCATCACAGGCTTGGAGGCCTAAGAGAGAAAAAGAATTGTTTTATGGGCCATCAGGGCCCACCTGCTGTGTGCAGCCTAGGGTCTTGGTACCCTGTATCCCAGCTGCTTCAGCCATGGCTAAAAGGAGCCAAGGTACAGCTCAGGCCATGATTTCAAAGCATGCAAGCCCCAAGTCTTTGTTAGCTTCCATGTGTGTTGACCCTGTGGATGCCCAGAAGTCAAGAACTGAGGTTTGGGAACCTTTGCCTAGATTTCAGAGGATGTATGGAAACACCTGGATGTCCAGGCAGAAGTTTGCTGCAGGGATGGGGCCCTCATGGAGAACCTCTGCTAGGGCAGTATGGAAGGGAATTGTGGGGTCAGAGCTCTCACACAGAGTCCTCACCAGGGCACTGCCTAATGGAGATGTGAGAAGAGGGCCACCATCTTCCAGACCCCAGAATGGTAGATATACCTTCAGCTTTCACTGTATGCCTGGAAAAGCTACAGACACTTAATGCCAGCCTGTGATAGAGACAGGGAAGGGGGATGTACCCTGCAAAGGCAGTGGGGCGAAGCTGCCCAAGGTCATTGGCACCCACCTCCGGCATTAGCATGACCTGGATGTGAGACATGGAGTCAAAGGAGATAATTTTGGAAATTTAAGGTTTAATGTCTGCCCTATTAGATTTCAGACTTGCATAGAGCCTGTGTGTATTAGTCAGGGTTCTCCAGAGGAACAGAACTAATAGGAGATATATATATGTGTGTGTGTATATATATATATATATGAGTTTATTATGTAGTATTAACTCACACAATCACAAGGTCCCAGAATAGGCCATCTGCAAGTCCTCCATCACTAAGCCAGTCCAAGTCTCAAAGCTAAAGAACTTGGTGTCTGATGTTCAAAGGAAGGAAGCATCCAGAACAGGAGAAAGACGTAGGTTGGAGGCTAAGCCCATCTAGACTTTTCATGTTTTTCTGCCTGTTTCATATCCTGACCACACGGGCAGCTGACTAGATGGTGCCCACCCAGATTAAGGGTGGGTCTGCCTTTCCCAGCCCACTGAATCAAATGTTAATCTCCTTTGGCAACACCCTCACAAACACACCCAGGATCAATACTTTGCATCCTTCAATCCAATCAAGTTGACACTCAGTATTAACCATCACAAGTCCACCTTTGTCAACTTGAACCCACCCACATCACCTGAGATCAAACATAATCTTCAAATAAAGGCAATAATAAGATCATAATTACACCTAACATAATACAACTATCATTGGTACAACCAGAACTATATCAATTCCCAACCCAAATGCTATTACATAAAGTTAACAATACTTAAATGCTAGCATGAAGTCAATAAATCCTATGTAACATGATAAAGGAAAAAAGGAATAAAATGGAGATATTTTCTTAGTACAAGTGCATACAGGCACAAATAGTTTTTAACAAAAGAAGGAGGAAATACTTATAACAATTACAGTCCTTGTCTCTGCAACTGGTCACGTGGTCATAGCTGGTATTGATGACTACCTTCTACTACCCATTCCGTATTCCCTTTGCCTTCAGCAAGCACCTCAGCAGGTTGTGGGTTTTTTCCTGGTGGAGTGACATAAATCTCCATTCCTGAAGGGTCTGGGCCATTTGTAGTCCTGCCTGGGTTGGGCTTTTACAGTTTCTCATTGACCTTAATCACAGAGCATGGTAATACTAAGAGATGCCCTAATGGATCTCCTGTATTCCAAGCATACTTTTCTTTACCTCTGTTGTAAAGTAGTAGGTAGATTTCATCTTGATAGCCCAGTTCAGTCACCCCAGCCAACACTGTAACTCCCTTCTTACCCTCTTGGCTGAAAGGTAGGAGGAGCCCAAAGTGTCCAAGTGGCATTCTTAACTTCCAATTTAATGAAATCTTTGTTGTGTCTCCTGGTAGCAGCATTCCTCCCTCTGAAATTAAGAGATCTAGGCCAGCAGAATGTAATGTCATGGTAACAGGAAGCAAAAAATTTGCTAGTGGACCACTAGGGGTGATGGCAAGTGATGCCACTTCCACATCCACCCCTTGATTCCTGGACCCATGAATTCTGGCTATGAGAGAAATAGTACCATATGTTGGATGCTGATTCAGAGCATACACAGCCTTCTGGAGAACTTTGCCTCAGCCCTGCAAAGTATGGTCATCTAGTTGGCATTGTAATTGTAACTTCAAAAGGCCATTCCACCATTCTATCAATCCAGCTGCTTCAGGATAATGGGCAACATGGTAAGACCAGTGAATTTCATGAGCATGTGCCCACTGTCGCAAATGAGTGCCTTGGTCAGAGGCAATGCTGTGTGGAATACCACAACGGTGGATAAGGCATTCTGTGAGTCCATGGATGGTAGTTTTGGCAGAAGCATTGGGTGCGGGATAAGCAAACCTATATCTGGAATAAGTGTCTATTCCAGTGAGGACAAACCTCTGCTCTTTCCATGAGGGAAGAGATCCAATATAATCAACCTGCTACCAGGTAGCTTGTTGATCACCCCGAGAAATGTTGCCATATTGAGGGCTCAGTGTTGATCTCTGCTGCTGGTAAACTGGGCACTCAGCAGTGGCCATAGCCAGGTCAGCTTGGGGCAGTGGAAGTCCGTGTTGCTGAGCTCATGCATAACCTCCTTCACTGCCACCATGGCCACTTTGTTCATGGGCCCATGGGGCGATGACAGGTGTGGCTGTGGAAAGAGACTGAGTAGTGTCCACAGAAAAGGTCATCCTGTCCAATTGATCATTAAAATTCTCTTCTGCTGAGATCACACGTTGGTGAGCACTCACTTTGGATACAAATATCTTCACAGTTTTTGGCCACTCTGAGAGGTATATACACATATCTCTTCCCCAAATTCCCTTGTCATCAATTTTCCAATTATGCTTCTTCCAAGTGCCTGACCATCCAGCCAAACCATTGGCTACAGCCTATGAATCAGTATACAGTGGCACTACTGGGCATTTCTCTTTCCATGCAAAGTGCACAATCAGGTATACTCTTCAAAGTTCTGCCCACTGGGAAGATTTGCCTTCACCACTGTCCTTCAGGGGTAGGGGCTATAGAGCTGCAGCTGTCCACTTTCAGGTGGTGCCTGCATATCGTGCATAACCATCTGTGAACCAAGCCCTAGTCTTCTCTTCCTCTGTCAACTGATCATAGGGAACTCCCCATGAGGCCATCAGTGCAGGCTAAGGGAAAGAAGGCAAGGTGGCAGGAGTGGAGACCATGGGCATTTGAGCTACTTTCTCAGGTAATTTACTTGTGTCTTCAGGACCTGCTTAAGCCAGATCACATATACACCACTTCAATTTGATGACTGGATGCTGAATGCTGCTGTGCATGGTCCCCTTGATGGGATGATGGCTCAGAAAGCACCCAGTTCATAATAAGCAATTCAGGTCACATGGTGACTTGATGAGCCATAGTCAAAAGTTCAGTTTCCACCAAAGCCCAGTAACAGGCCAAGAGCTGTCTCTCAAAAGGAGAGTAGTTATCTGCAGAAGATGGCAGGGCCTTGCTAGAAAATCCTAGAGGCCCCTGCTATGATTGACCTATGGGGGCCTGCCAAAGGCTCCAAACAGCATTCCTATCTGCCACTGGCACCTCAAGCACCTTTGTATCTGCTGGGTCATATGGCCCAAGTGGCAGAGCAGCTTGCATAGCAGCCTGGACCTGTTGCAGAGCCTTTTTCTGTTCTGGTTCCCACTCAAAACTGGAAACCTTTTGGGTCAGTCAGTAAATTGGCAAGAATAACACACCCAAATGAGGAATGTGTTGCCTCCAAAATCCAAATAGGCACAAAACCACTAAGCATTGTGCCTTTTTCTTGCTTGTAGAAAGGGCCAAGTGCAGCAACTTATCCTTTACCATAGAAGGAATGTCTCAATATGTCCAACACCACTAGACAACTAGACCCCTAGAAATTTTACTGAGGTAGAAGGTCCCTGAATTTTAGTCAGATTTATTTCCCATCCTCTGGTATGCAAATATCTTACCAATAAGTCCAGGATGTTTGCTACTTCTTGCTCACTGGGTCCAATCAGCATAATGTCATTAATGTAACAAACCAGTGTGATATGTTCGTGGAAGTGAAAAGTGATCAAAGTCTCTTTGAATAAGATTATGATCCAAAGTCAGAGAGTTCATATACCCCTGAGATAGAACAGTAAAGGTATATTTCCTGTAAAGGTATATTTACATTGCCAGCTGAAGGCAAATTGCTTCCAATGGACATGAATGGAGAAAAAGGAGTTTGCCAAGTTAATGGCTGCATGCAAGATACCAGCAGACGTGTTAATTTGCTCAAGTAATGAAACCACATCTGGTAGAGCTGCTGCAATTGGAGTCACCATTTGGTTAAGCTTACAATAATCCACTATCATTCTCCTAGATCCATCTGTCTTCCCCACAGGCCAAATAGGACAGTTGAACAGGGATGTAGTGGGAATCACCACCCCTGCGTCTTTCAAGTCCTTAAGGGTGTCACTAATCTCCGTAATCTTTCCACGGATGCAATATTGTTTTTGATTTATGATTTTTCTAGGTAGAGGCAGCTCTAATGGCTTCCATTTGGCCCTTCTCACCATAATAGCCCTCACCCTGCCAGTCAGAAAGCCAATGCGGGGGTTCTGCCAGCTGTGAAGTATGTCTATGCCAATTATGCATTCTGGCACTGAAGAAATGACCACAGGATGACTCTGGGAACCTCCTGGAGTTGTGTAAGTAGGGACTGAGCTAAAACTATCAATTACTGCCTCCATAAGTCCCTACTTTAACCGGAGGACCACAGTGACATTTTTGGCCCCCTGGAATCAAGGTCAGCTTAGAGTCAATGTCTAGTAGTCTCTGAAACGTCTAATCATTTCCCTTTCATCAATGCACAGTTACCCTGGTAACAGGTCAGAAGTCTCCTTGGGGAAGAATGGGAGAAAGAATAACAGCATAAATTGTCAGTAGTATAGTGGGGTTCTTGATCAAAGGGACCTGACCTCCCCTTTATTCAAGGGGTTCTGGTTCTGGCTTCAATCTGGAAATTCATTGAGGGGCCATGGTTCTCTGTTTTTATCATTCAAGTTAGTCTTTTGTCCATTTGACCTGGGCGTTTTCTGCCTATATAAATTAAGCAGGAATTCAGTTGGCTTCCTATCAATTTCATTTCTAGGAACATCATGATTAGCCAATACCAGAGTTCTACATGAGTTTGCACTATTTAATTGCTGCATTGCCTCTGCTGTTCATTATAATAGCGATGCCCACCTTGCCTGTGATGGTTTAGTGCTGCCACTTGGCCCCTGCCACCTCAGGATCCAATTATTCCCATTGTATTTCAATTTTGTAGTTGAGTGACTGCAGTTCCCACTGTTAGATCTGATATACAGAGAAGAGCAATTACAGCACTCTTCAAAGATGCAGGTGCTGCCTCACAAGTCTATTTCACAAAACATTGGTCAAGGGTATATCTTCTGGACCCACTCAGCTCGGATAAGTAAGTGTAAAATGACTAATCTCCTCCATCATCCCAATCTTTCTAAGCCTTTTGATTCTTTCCTCTACATTAACCCAAGGGAGGAAATTAGGCATTTCCAGCTCGCTCACAGTAGCCTATCTTTTAATCCATATTTCAGCCAACCAAGCAAATAAACTATCAGAACCTTTTTTTAACTTCCCAAGCTGTAACATTAAATGCAGAGTCCCTACCTAGTGGGCTTAAATCGATACATTCAGCCTGATCCAACTGTATGTTCCTTCCACTATTATCCCATACCCTTAATATCCATTCCCATTCCTGTTCTCCATATTTTTGCTTATATAAATGGAAAGCTCAAGCAGTTCTTTTGAGTGTAGTGCACCTCCTCATAGGTCACACTCTCAATCTCCCCTTAGGGGTCCACTGGGACTTTAGTCTAGTTATAGGCCTAGAAGCAAACAGGAGTGTTGGGGGTGGCTCCTGAGGAGAATCAACATTATCTTGCCTGACGACTGCCTCAGGGGAGGTCATCACTGTTGCCTCAGGCAGCGCAGGGTTTATCTCCTCAGACAAAGGTGGAAAGGCTGATGGCAGCATGGACTGGGGAGGGGATGTTGCCACTATTGGGCATGGAGAAGCTGTTTCTTCTGGCAAAAAGGGTTCATCAGAGTTGACAAGCTCAGTGTGCCCACCTTCATCAGAGTCCTCCCACACCTTCCCCTTCCAAGTTGCAGGGTCTTATTCTTTTCCAATTAATGCCCTCACTTTAACAGTAGACACCTGGTGAGGCTGTGCATGCACTTTCATCGCAGTATTGCCACTCGCATGATAAGAGCTTGTATCTGTTTTTCCACAATTTCAGCTCTGTCTCTACAGGAGATAAGACTCCCACTCAGGGTAATCTTAGCAGATTTGATAGTTAGTATCTGCTTCTGAACCTGGGAGTTAGAATCCCTGAGTTCATCATTTTCTTTCATCCTTTTGTCAAGTGAACTTAGGAGCACCCAACCAACTTCATTTTGTTCCTTCATTCTCCATATATAGTCAAAGGTATTATGTATAGAGTCACTAAACTCCTTGACTGTCATGAGCAGTGAATCACGAGTGTCAAATGGGTTTATTTTTCATAACTATCTAAACTGTTCATGCCAAGGACTATCAGTGTTCTCCATACTATTAGAGTAGAGTCCTTAGCATTTTGGGGTCTAATCATATTAAACAGCCATTCTAGAAATGCTAAAAACAACAGAAGAACTCCATTATTAATATTCTGTTCCTCTAGAACCACTCCTGATACCAAACTCTGTGTTAGTCAAGGTTCTCTAGAGAGACAGAACTAATAGGATCTATATATAGAAAGGGAGGGAGTTTATTATGTTGTAGTAACTCACATGATCACAAGGTCCCACAATAGGCCATCTACAAGCTGAGGAGAAAGGAAGCCAGTCCAAGTCCCAAAGCTGAAGAACTTGGAGTTCGATGTTCCAGGGCAGGAAGCATCCAGCACAGGGGAAAGATGTATGCTAGGAGGCTAAGCCAGTCTAGGCTTTTTACGTTTTTCTGCCTGCTTCATATCCTGGCCACACTGGCAGTTGATCAGACTGTGTCCACCCAGATTAAGGGTGGGCTTGCCTTTCCCAGCCCACTGACTCAAATGTTAATCTCCTTTGGCAAGACCCTTACAGACCCACCCAAGATCGATACTTTGCATCCTTCAATCCAATCCAGTTGACACTTAATATTAACCGTTACACTGTAGCTTCTTTGTTTTGGCCAGTATCTTCCACTTAGAATGTGCATATTTACCCAATGACTATACTCCATTGTATCTGGGAGGTAACTAACTTGCTTTTGATTTTACAGGTTCATAGGCAGAAGGGACTGCCTTTTCTCAGATGAGACTTTGTACTTGGACTTTTGAGTTAATGCTGGAATGAATTAAAACTTTGTGGGACTGTTGGAAGGGAATAATTGTGTTTTGAAATGTGAGGACATTAGAATTGAGAGGGCCATGGGTGAAATTATATGGTTTGGCTCTGTGTCTCTAACCAAATCTCACCTTGAATTGTAATAATCCCATGTGTCAAGGGCAGAACCAAGTAGAGGTAATTGTAGCATGGAGGCAGTTCCCTCATGTCGTTCTCATGATAATGAGTGAGTCTCGTGGGATCTGATGGTCTTATAACAATTTGACATTTCCCCTGCTTGCACTCATTCTGTCTCCCGAAACCCTGTGAAGAGGTGCCTTTTGCCATGCTTGTAAATTTCCTGAGGACTTTCCAGCCATGTGGAACTGTGAGTCAATTAAACCTCTTTTCTTTATAAATTACCTAGCCTCAGGTATTTCTCTACAGCAGCCTAAGAACAAACTAATTATCTATCTATCTATCTATCTATCTATCTATCTATCTATCTATCTATGATCTGGCTATAGCTATATATATATATTATATATATAATATATATTATGATTTATATATATATATATGATTTATTATGAGGTATAGGCTTATGGAATTATAAAGTCTGAGAAATCCCATCTGTGCAAGATGGAGACACTGGACAGTCAGTGGTGTAGTTCAAAAGCCTGAAAGCCAGAGAGCCAATGGTATAGATTTCAGTCTGAGTTTGAAAGCTTGAGAAACAGAAGGACCAAGGGCAAGAAAAGATTGATGTCTCAGTTCAAGTAGGCAGAAAGAGAATGAATCCTCTCTCTTTCATCTTTTTGCTCTATTCAATTATCAAGGGACTAAATCTTACCCATCCACAATGGGGAAGCCAACTCAGTTTATTCAGTCTGCTGATTAAAATGCCAATCTCTTCTATAAACACTCTCATGGACACACCCAGAAATAGCGTTTAATCAGCTATCTGGGCATCCTGTGATCCAGTCAAGTTAACAAAATTAACTTTCACAAATACACTAATTGTCAATGTGGCACTTATATTCATCTCCTTACATACTTAAATACTATGATATAAAGCCAATATATCTTATGTTACATGATAAGAGAATAGGAGAAAGAAGAAAACAACGGTATTATATACACAATATATACACAATCAAAAATGCATTTATAACAAAATGGGGAGATCATATTTATGACAATCAAAATTATCATTGCTGTAACTGGTCATGTAGTCATAGCTAGTATTTATAACTACTTTATTCAACTAACCATTCTGTATTCCCTTTGTCTTCAGGAAGCACCTCAGCTGGTAGTGGTTTTTTGTCTTTTGTGGTTACCCAATTTTTTATTCCTGAAGGGCTGTGATCACTAACAACCTTGTCCTCATTGGGCTGTTGTTTCCTATTAACCTTAATCACAGGGCATGGTAATACTAAGGAAAACTATAAGGGATCACCCACACTCTAAATGTATTTTACCTTACCTACATTATGAACTAGCAGTCCAATTTCCCCTTGGTAGTCAGGATCACCCCAGATAGTACTTTAACTCCCTTATTTGCCTATTGATTGAGAAGCATGAGGAGTTCAAAGTGGCCAGGTGAGTCTTAGCTTCCATTTCAATGGAATCATTATTGTGTCTCCTAATGGAAGGACTCCTCCCTTTGCAACTAAGACCTCCAGCCCAGCACAGCACAGGGTTTGGGAAAAGAAAATAAATATTTTGCTAGTGAGTTAGTAGTGGTAGTAGTGAGGGTTTTCACTCCCATTTCTACTCCTTAATTCCTAGACCCACGAATGCTGGCTGTAGGAGAAACAGGATCATATATCAGATGCTGATACAGAACATACACAGCCTTCTGGAAACCCTTTCCCCATTCTATCTCAACAAATGTTCTTGCTTTAACAAGAACATGCTGAAAGACTTGGAGTTTAATTTCCGTTACAATTCAGCCATTCACAGGATGAGATTCTGCATTTCACTTTCTGCAATCTCAACTCTGTGGACACCAAAAATAAGAGTTATCTTCAGATGACAATAAGTCCTCAGGTCACTTATGCTTGTGGGAATTTAAATCCTAAGCTCATCCTTTTCTTTCACCACTTTGTCCAGTGACATTAGGAGCAAACGGCCAACCTTGTTATATTTGTTAGTTTTCCAAAACTGTTCAAAAGCATCATCTACACAGTCATTCAGTTCCTTGCTTTTTATAAGTGGCATCCAAGGCAGATATTTTGTATATCTCTATTACCAGATTATGTCATGGATGTTAGTGCTCTCTTTACTACCGGAAATAGAGTCATCCAAACCTTTACATCTAATCAGATTAGACAATTTATTCCAAAATCTACAGCATCAATTTGGGAAAGTTATTTATAAAATTCTGTTTCTGTAAAACCACTCCCAGTACCAATATATGTCTTAGTCAGGGTTATCCAGAGAAATAAAATCAATAAAATCTGTCCTCTGAAACCTGGAGACCCAGCTGGTGTAGTCTGAAGGCCTGAAAGTCAAAGATTCAATGGTGTAATTTTAGTCCCAGTTTGTAGGCCTGGCATTTCAAAGAAAGGAGAGGAATAGATATTCCAGCTCAATCAATCAGGCAGAGAAAGAGTGAATTCTCCTGTCCTTCACCATTTTCTTCTATTCAGATGCTCACTGAATTAGTTGATATCACACATAGAGAAGGGCAATCAAGTTTACTATGTCTATTGATAAAAATGTTAATTTCTCCCATAAATACCATGACAGAGACACTGAGAAATGTTGTCTAAACAGATGTCTGGATCCCGTGATCCAGGAAAGTTAACACATAAAACAAAATATGACAATCAATAACTAATAACTTTTCAAATAAGAAACCACAATATTTGAATGGTTGCACTGCTGAAATACACCAATTGTTTAAGAAGAAATTGTACAAATTTTCCACAACCTCTGTCAGGAAGTAGAAAAAAACAAGAATATTTCCTAACATTTTTTATGAAGACAGTGTCACTCTAATACTAAATATGGATAAAACCCTTACAGAAAAGAAAACTAAAGATTATGAACACAGGTGAAAATTTCACATGAACACAGATTCAAAATTTTTCAATAAAATATTGACAAATAAAACAACAACATATAAAAATAATTCTACACCATGATCTAGAAGGAATTTTTCCAGGGACACAAGGCTGTTCTACATCCAGAAGTCAGTGTTATCTACCACATTAAAGACAAATGAAGAAAATTGAATAATTATATCAATAGATACAGAAAAAGCATTTGAAAATACATGACACCTATTCATAATAAAAAGTATTAACAAATTAGAAGTAGAGAGGATGGGAACTCCCTGTATTTGATGAAGACACCTACAAAAATCCTACAGGTGGAATCATATTTAATGTTGAGAGACTGGAAGCTTTTCTTCTAAGACTGGGAACAAGGCAAAGATAACTTCTCTCATCATTTCTACTCAACATCATACTAAAAGTCTTAACTAGAGCAATAAGACAAGAAAAGAAATAAAAAAGATAGAAAAGGAAGAATTAGAACTATCTGTGCTGAGTTTATATTATTATCTATATAACAAATCTCAAGGAATTTGCAAAAACAAGAAGTTTTTAAAATCTAATTTAAGTATAAGATCTCAGAAAACAAGGTCAATATACAAAAGTTAGTTACTTACTATGAAATTCATCCTTTGCAGTGAGCAATGAGAAACAATATTAGTTTCTAAAAATGCCATTTACAATTGCACAGACATGAAAATAAATACTGATATAAATCAGACAAAATTTTTTAATAATCTACATGTCTTTTACTACATGTGAAAAACTACAAAATTCTGATAAAAGAAATTACAGAAGATCTAAATAAAGTGTGATAAGTTCAACATTACTTCACTAAATATTGTTAAGATGTTAATTCTCTCCTATTTGATGAATATATTCAATGCAATCCCAATTTTTTAGAAAAATACTTTTTTTAGATATCAACAAACAGATATATAAAGTTTATATGAAAAGTCAAAAAACCTGAAATACTCAATGCAAACTGAAAAACCATAAAGTTGGAGGATGCATACTACCCGATTTTAAGACTTACTATAAAGGCACAGTGTCAAGACAGTGTGGTATTGACTAAAGAATTCACACATAGTTCAGTGGAACTAGTGGGTCCAGAAATAGGCCTCATACAAATGTAATCAACTGATCTTTGACAAAGGAGCAAAATGCAATTCAATAGCAAAGGAATAGTCTTTGCAATAAATGCAGTAAGTGGTGCTGCAACAATGGGATATCCTTCTGCACACACATAAAAAAATGAACCTGGACACACGAACCTCAGAGCGTCACAAAATATCAACTTAAAATAGGACATAGATTTAAATGCAAAACTACAAATATAGGAGCAAATTTAGGTGACCTTGAATTTGGCCATAAGATTTCAGATACAACCACAAAAAGATTCTGTGAAAGCTTAGATGTTACTAAAATTAAAAACTTCAGCCCTGTGAAAGTCACTGTTAGGATAATTTTTAAAAAGTAATAGACTGGGAAAAAATTTGCAAGACATGCATCTGATAAAAGGTTTGTATCCAAAATATACAATAAACACTTAAGACTCAACAATAAGAAAACAATCACATTTGAAAGTTGGCAAAAGATTAAATAGACACCTCATCAAAGAAGATACACAGATAGAAAATAAAAATGGTCAACATCATTTGTTACTAGAACATTGCAAATTAAAACAATTAGGAACCACTACTTATTTATTAGAATTGCTAAAATCTAAAAATCTGATAATACTTAATACTGAGAAGAATGCAGAGTAACAGGAACTTTCATTCTTTTCTGGTGGAAATGAAAAACCGTACAGATTCCTTGGAAGGCAACTTTTCAATTTCTTTCTTTTTTTTTTTTTTTTTCTGGGACAGAGTCTCACTCTGTCACCCAGTCTGGAGTGCAGTGGCACAATCTTGGCTCACTGCAAGCTCTGCCTCCCAGGTTCATGCCATTCTCCTGCCTCAGCCTCCCAAGCTTTTCAATTTCTTATCAAGCTAAACATATAATTCAGCAATCATGCTCCTAGATTTTCACTAAACTTATTTGTTAATTTTTGCCCACAAAAATTCTATTTATATTTTTATAGATGCTTTATTCATAATTACCCCAAACTGGTAGCAATCAAGACGTTCCCCAAGAGGTGAACAGATAGTCTGTGATACATCCATATGGTGAGATAATATTCAATGATAAAAA
Organism: Homo sapiens; assembly: GCF_000001405.40. Lineage (NCBI taxonomy): Eukaryota > Metazoa > Chordata > Mammalia > Primates > Hominidae > Homo > Homo sapiens. Next base: position 15,033,737 of record NC_000018.10, on the reverse strand, counting down.
GATATGAGTAATCAAACCATGAAAAAAATGAAAGGATCTTAAATGCAAATTTCTAAGTGAAATAAGCCAATCTGAAAAGGATACAGACTAATGATTCTGATTATGTGATATTCCACAAGAAAGAACCCTATCAGGGGTTGCCAAATGTTTGTGGGGAGTAAAGGAGGATGGAAGAATAATTGATGCACAAATGATTCTTCTGTCAATAAAACTATGCTGTATGATACTGCAATAGTGGATACATGGCATTATATATTTGTCAAAACCAACAGAACTTTACAGAAGAAATAGTAAACCTTAATGTATGCAAATTTAAAAAGAAACATATAGTATGTCTGGAGATCCCTGACACCAACTAAGCAAAAAAAATCTAACTGTATTTCACATGTGTGACACAACCTCACTGAAGTCAGTAGAGGAAGAAAATGTGCTAACCTAAGTTACTTTATATATGATATAAATGAATTTTATTTGTCTCATGAACACTGTACTTTAGTTGACAAAAATGTTTTTGTTAAGAGGTAACTTAGGTTACAAGTGCTCTGCTGAATGAATTGATTAATGCCATTATCTTGAGAGTAGGTTAGCTACCTAGGAAGTGAGTTCTTGATAAAAGGATTAGTTCAGCACTATTCCTATTTCTCTGTCACATGCATACATGCTGTCTTGCTCTTCTGCCTTCCACCATGGGATAACACAGGAGGAAGGTCCTTGTTACATGTAGGTTCCTCAACCTTGGATTTCCCAGTCTCAAGAACTGTAAGAAATAAGTCTCTGTTCTTTATAAATCACCCAGTCTAAGGTATGCTACATTAGCACAAAATGGACTAAGACGCTATCTATCCATCTACCTATATGTCTATATATCTATCTAATCTATCTGGCTATCTATCTAATCTATCTGGCTATCTATCTATCTATCTATCTATCCATCTATCATCTATCTGTTCCCACCTAAGCAGGTGAAAGTAAGCTACCTCATAAAGCAGAAGATAATATACACATCAATACACTCTCTTACCTAATAAAGACTGGTACATTAAAGGTAGTGGTATACTGCTTTTACATCTCAATGTTTATTTGCTCATTTGTTTTTCCCAACTGTGAATAAAATGTTATGCAAAAGCTATTATAATAGCAACTAGTATGCAGCTCCACCATCTTTAACTTAATTGGAGAGAGACATAAAGAAAAACCTTTGTTCTTAACATTCTTGCAAGAAGAAACAATATGCAGAGAATGTTTTTTTCCCTCTCTCTCTTTCTCTGTTTATGTATACGTTCATTAATCTATACTTATACACATTAAAATTCAGTTTTTTAAAATGAGTAGGAAAATGGGTGTTTCAGTCAACTAAATATTCTAATTAATTCAATATTTTATCCTGTGAGATGTTCAAAAGATCAAATATTTTTAAAAGTCATAATAATCCCATAAAATTACTGAGATAGTCCCTCTTTCTTCCTCATGTTTTGTCTAGGTCACTCCTACCAGACTGAACATGAATTTGATAATTTTTTTATCTTATTCATGCACAAGCTTAGATTTGATTCCTTATTTTATATTTATAAACTATTTTTGTCTTGCCTCTGACTTTTTTGTATCAGATTGAATTTTATTCTACTGTTTTATTTAAGCCCTTTCTTGCAATTACCATCATCCTGCACCAATATAGAAATTTCAGTGTGTTTACTTCTTCCTTGAGCTCACAATGAGATCTCCTGTTATAGGCTAATGGCTACAGGCATATTTTACTGTCATAATTTTCACAGAACCCATACATAAATAATCCAAACTAACCCTAAAATTATACCAAAAAATTAATGTGATTAGGATGATAATTCACAGTCACATAGTGTTTTGGAATCTTTGTGGTGAAAATAAATTGTTTGTTTAAAACTATTGACTTAGAAGTTGGACTCTATTATTGTGTAATGACTGAAACAAGAAGTAACATTTTTCAATATATCTTTATGTAAGGAATATTCTCTGATATGGTTTGGCTGTGTCCCCACCCAAATCTCATCTTAAATTATAACTCCCACAATTCCCACATGTCCTGGGAGGAACCGGGTGGGAGGTGATTGAATTATGGGGGTGGATCTTTCCTACGCTGTTCTCAAGACAGTGAATGAGTCTCATGATATTTGATAGTTTTAAAAATGTTAAGTTTCTCTGCACAAGCTCTCTTTTTGCCTGCTGCCATCCACGTAAGATGTGACTTGCACCTCCTTGTCTTCTGCCATGATTGTGAGGCTTCCCCAGCCATGTGGAACTGTGAGTTCTCCATTATACCTCTTTCCTTTGTATATTGCCTAGTCTTCAGTATGTCTTTATCAACAGCATGAGACTAGACTAACACATTCTCATTTTGTGCGTTTCAGAGAAAAAATAATAAGGCAAGAAATTCCATTTTTGAAAATTATTATTGCTTAAACTTTAGACAAATGGGAATTGACTGTGTTTGTTTACCCTAACATGGACTAGGTGCTGGCAAATTACAACTGCAGTTTTGTTTCTGCAGCCTCAAATTTAATCTTTTATTTTGTCAGATGTGGCTAAGTGAACAATTTCCCCCCCCCAAAAAAAAAGACTAAAATAGTGAGCCTTTAAAACTCCTATTTCTCTTCTAGACTTGGATCCCTAAGTACCAGCCAAGGAAAATATCTGATTTCGTCAAGGAAAAAGAGTTCATATTTCTTTTGAAACATATCATGTTGCCATAGTTACCAAATGCTCTCATTTTATTTCCTAACAATAATATCACCATCTAGGTACACATAGCTTACAAAAGTAAATGTTTTATTGTGGAATTTTATAAGGACACAGGATCTGCTTCCAATGACTTTTAAAAAATTAAAATGGAAGGATTCTTTCTAATAAATACACCTGAGTTGAAATTAAATGTTTTCTGAGCAAGAGCATAGGAGAAAAGGAGGAGCAGAGAGAAATTGAAAAGGACACATACAGTTTTAACATTTCAAAGGTGAAGGTGATTTAAATTAGGATGTGGGCATGGTTGTTCTTCTCCACCCCAGTGTATATAAACATTCTCATATGGGTTGCCATGTCTCCAGGAGTGATACCATCATCTGGACAGGCCATTAGAAATTAAAACATACTTACACATATACACATGCACATCTTAGAATAAGAAAAATTATAAACCAGCTTATTTCTATTTGTCTTGCCAAATACAAACTTTAGAGACAAAATTTTAAACAAAGCAGCAACTATGAAAATAAATAATGAGATCCCTGTGTACAGAATTACGTAGTTGGGGTTTACATATTTGAAATCAAGCTCCAAGTAGAAAGGAATCAGTTTTCTCTGTCTTTCTTTTCTCTTACTTTTTAAGAAGCTATCACAAGAATTTTATTTACAGGAATTTAAGGTGGAAACATATACCTTTTGGGGAGTAAATCATTACTAAAAACATAATTAATGTGGTCATTTTGAACAATATTATCAAATAGTTACCTCAATGAATCATAAAAATCATCAAATATGTACATGATTTGAAAAATCTTGAAAACTAAGAAAGTTGAAATATGTAAAAAGTAAATTTCATAGTCTACCTTTATAGATAAAACATCAATAGCTAATATTAAACTATAAGCATTATTATTAAAATATAAACATTAATTGAAAATTTAAAATTAAATTTAAAAATTAATTAATTTCTTTATGTCTTCCTATTTCATACTTAAAAGGTTTCTTATTCTAGCCTAAATGGTGTATCACAAACTGCAAATTACAATACTTGATGTTTTAATGCACTATGTCGGGGGGTGGGGGGCAAGGGGAGAGAGGAAGAGCATTAGGACAAATACCTAATGCATGCGAGGCTTAAAACCTACATGACAGTTTGTTAGGTTCAGCAAACCACCACGGCACATGTATACCTATGTAACAAACCTGCATGTTCTGCACACATATCCCAGAACTTAAAGTAAAACTTAAAATAAGAAAATAATAATAATAAAGAATGTGTTATTTAAATGTAATCTTTAGCATTTCAGTTTTGTTTACTGGAGTCATAATCTCAATATTATTTTTAAATAGAGAAAATTCAAAATTATTTAACATAAAGTATACTTCATTTTATTCATAAAGTTTTACCCATGATTTTTTAAATGAATGATTTAGGCAGAGCATTATGGTGTTTGAGAAGAACTGGCCTTCATTGTAAGTTGACTGTAGGATTTATTGATACAAGCAAAAGATGCATAAAAAAGAAAAATTTTTCATAATTTTGTTTTTCAAAAACTTATATATGCGTATGTGTATGTGTGTATGTATATGTGTATATTTAAATATGTATCATGTACTTTAGAGAGATTTTTACATCCAGTATGGCTCTTAGGATAAAGGCCATGATTCCCATTTTATAAGTTTTCTCTTGATTAAAAAGCTAGTTTTGTGTGGTGGTGGGTGAGATGTTATATTGTTTACTTCTTCAAACTCTGTTGGCCTCCCTTAAACTTATTTTGGTTTATTATTGTTTGTATTTTTAATTGTATGCTTGGAGGGATCCTTTATCTTTCCAATCAGCCTTGTCCAGGTCTGAATCCCATCTCCTTTCACCTCCTTGAGAATTTTTATTCTCAAGAGGTCAATTTTTTTTCTGTCTTCTTACTCTCATTTCCCACTAGTGGAGGCTTATCTAATTATAAACAATAAAGAAATGATTTTGAAATTATCTTTTTACTTATACACCCAAACTGGTATCTGTAGATTCTTTCTTATCTTTTGCTTACCCATTTCTGAAATGTTCCCATGCCTAAAGCCAGATGCTCTTTTTTTTTTTTTTTTAATCTGCTGCAGTCTTTTTGGACAACTTAGTCCTCTTCCAGTTGCTTCACCTCTCACTCATAACTTGCTGACTCCAGAATCTATAACTCTTTAATTCTCTTCTGAGGTCCTGAGATACATATATACATATATATAAAATATATATATATATATATATATATATATATATATATATATATACACAATGTTTTATTGAAACTTCCCAATTATTGCATGTCAGGTATTCTCATTTCACAGACCAGGAAACAGATACTTACAGAAGTTAAGTACTACAGCAGGTTTACTCAATTAGCACATGTCCAAGCTAGTATTTAATCCAAAACTTTTAATTTTTTTTCTATTATATAAGCTTTCTTTCTATTTTCTTGAATTCCAGTTTTGTCTACCAGGGTAAAGTACATGATTGCTAAAGAAGGGAGGCTTTAGAATTTCTCTCTCTCTGTCTATCTTTTTTATTTTTTTGGAACCCACTTGCATGAATTTTTCAGATTCCAGAAATAATGCTTTGCTATGAATGAAGTAGTACTTTTAATTCTATACATTTTTGCCATAATGTCTATGCACCCAGCCTGTGAAATAAATTGCACTGACCTGTGTCTTTAGTGCCTGTTACTTAAAATTTTTCCAAACCACCTTAAATGTTGAAGTTAATAAAATTGGTAATGCTCGACGTGGGGAAAAAAAAAAACAACGAAAACCACTAAGATGTTCTACTTTGTGGTCTCTGCATGACATCTAGTGGTTGGAACTGGAAAATTTGAGGAAATTATGATTAGTATCAGGGAAAATACAATCTGTGTTAGTCTGGAGTCCTCATTCCTAACATCAAAGGAAACATGATGTAGATATCCTCTACTTCCAAAGAGGTTGGCCACAGGCGGGTAGGCCTTTCTTAATCATTTCTGTTTCTCAGTCTGTGTATCAGGGAATAACAATTTCTCTCTGTGTTAAGCAATCCGTGCTCACTGGGGCTTGTGAAACATTGGTCTGTAATCAGTACCTACTTTTGGTAGATATGAGTTGGATAATTATAAGATGCAAAAGTAAATAAATCCTTTGGTTTTCTTTCTTTATACGCAAGTATTAATGATAGTAAATCTATGACTCTATTATTCAAAATTGTATTTAGAAAAGCTTTTTATATACTCCAGTTTTGATTCTTCTAAAGAGCTTATAAAATCGAGTAACTGCTTAGCTTTGAGTCTTACGGATGATATTGGGTGTAGGTCCTTGATAATCCAAGATTTAGGATCTGCCTACCAGAAATTTTAGTCCACTTAGATAACTGACAATGGAAAATGGTACATGATATGTTCTAAATAAACAACACAGCCAATGTCGTAGGGATGCCGCAAAGGATTTGGAGTCCAAGAGGTCAGAGAAGGGATCACGAAGGAGGATGGATTTGAACTGAGCTGCAGTTGATAGATGGGCAGCTTAAGGTATTGTTAAGCAAACAGGCAACAGAGTGAGATTCCTGGGTGTTGGCTTTCCTTCAGTGTGACCTTGGACAAACTATCTAGTTGCTCCACATTTTACTTTCTTTGTTTGCATCACAGTATGTACACACATAGATACATAGCATCTATGTCTTGTGGTGAAGATCACCATAATGTCTCGGTTGGCAAATTATCAGTTCTTTTTATTATAAATAAATTAAAAATGCAAATGTTTAGGTCAAGTGTTATTCTCTGAAAATGCACAGAGAAATGAGCCAAGAGAAAAATAATAATAAATAAATATTATATTTCTGACACCAAGACAAGTCCAAGAGAATTTAAAAAGTAATTATAAATATTTTATGGTAATGTATTTCAAATATACATGCTGCAGATTCCAGGATTTATGTCATGGGGATGGATCAGGAGTCCTTGAAACCTGGCACTTATTAATAAATGTTGTTTCTAATTTTCTATCACTGCAAGGTACTCTTATAGACACCATGTGAACAAATCAAATGTTACATCTCTGGGATTATAGGCTCATAAAAAATCAACACCTAGGGCATAACTTGAATCACAGTAACTTTATGCATTTCAAATGGGATAAAGTCAGCCAAGAAGTGTTTAGGTCTGCAGTCGATTGCTCAAGATTATTGTATCAACCAACTCTGGAATTAACTTCTGGGATGAAGAGTAAGAAAAAAGTAAAATCACTCCACATAGGCTCAAAGGAGACTTTTGTTGAAGTGGGTTTCCCCATGGTCTTTGAAGTGGGTGAGGCCTAGTGCTTGTTAAATACAGGGGCCTTGTGATGAATGAAGTATAAGAGAGATTGATGACAGATTTGAAATCCCACAGTAGTTGTTTTGTGCTTTGCTTTGAGAAGGCTGGTGATAATTAAACTGCTTTTCCAGCAGAGTCTTTGTTCCTAACCCAAGTATCGTATTTAAAGAAGAGCCAAGTAGTACAGGCATTTTTTGATGATGACACTAAGCTGACTCTGACCTATCTTCTTCCATGTTTATTTCCCAAAACATACACATTGGTAGTTGAAGTTATTTCCTATGAAGTGACCAAGTGACTTGGGGCTTGTGTGTGTGTGTGTGTGTGTGTGTGTGTGTGCATATATTTATGGATGTGCTTCAAGAGGGCTCAACCTTCACCTTCTCAGGATCATTTAGTTTCAATGTCATCTTTGCCTCTTTGTTATTTATCAGCAGGAGATAGTTGACCAAGCTCAGTACTGAACTCAAGCAACTCTGGCATGTCTACCCTTGATGTTTAATGGACCTGAACTAAACAAAGCATATTCAGTTTGAGTCATTTTAAATATTTGGTCACTTTTTAACTCCATGTAAACCTTCTGGTTAAACCTTATTTCAAATAGTAAAAGAATCATAGCTTGAATATAGTGCCTGACTTATGACAGTTTCTCAATAAATAGTTTTGATTTATAATCCTAAAAGTAGGAGTACATTTGCTGCTAGAGGACAAATAGACTTAAAAAGAATATGTAATATAACTTTACATCTGAAATAAATAATAACACTATCATAGAGTTTATCTCTTCGTTGCCTGCCTTTTTAGCTTCCTTATCCTTTTAATTTCTGCTTCTTTCTTTTTCTGTTTCTTATTTTTCTCGTAAATAGGTAGGACCAGATATATAAATATCCAGCACGGGCTACGTGCTGGAGATGTAATCAGCATTTTGAGCGTCCTAACTACTCAAAACACGCTTTTAACACATGAGTAGAATTCGATATTTTAAACAGATTCAGTACTTTATTAAAATATTTTCATATCTTGATAACATGTAAAAAATCTATGTATTGCCAGCTTCTTTTTGTATCTGCTCCCCCTTTTTCTATTGTATTTATATTGAAATGTTAATTTTAACACATAATATGTATATAAAAGTTTAAATCCCTAAAATTTTTAATAACATGTGCTTTTTGAACATATCACAACTAGAGTTTCACAGCAAAGTTCCCTGTTTTATTAAAATCCACCAGGGGATGTTTTCAACTTGTGAAATAACCTAATTGCAATAAACCTGGGCTGAGCTAGTGCTTATGATTAGCATGTTGGCAATGATCAATTGATTAAGGTTATATTGATATGTCAAAAATGTGATGAGGGAAGAAAGGAAATTGCTGCTCCTCAGTGTTTGTAAGTGCCAAAACAGATATGTATTTTATATGTGAGAAAAGGGCTGATGTGAATTTGTCTAAACAGCAGGATGTGAAAAGTATTGTTTCTATAAGAAAAAATCATCCTGGATTCACTAGTATGCAGGAGAAAGCAACTTTATTCTTTTTTTCTCTGTCTCACTAAATAAAATCTCTAGCAGAACATACCACTCCTGATAATTACATGCTCAGCAATTGATGTTTTGACATTTCAAATGGTCCTACTCATTCAGTACCAATACATAGTCCAATCCATTGTAAAAAGTCCGAATGACAAACATGTATCTGTTTAACGTTTCTTGTCTCCCCTAACTTGGGCTCACTCCAGTGTTAGGAGTCTGTAGTGGAGGGAGAAATGTGATGGCTTTTGTTTCCTTCTCCTTACCTTACTTTCTCTTCTGCTACCTTGCCTAACAGATAGGGCCCAGGTAAGCTGATATTTGGAGTAGTGAACACAGGCTTACGCGTATGGTACACCAGAGATGGTGTTGGTACTCTCTGGACTTGGTGAATGAATGTTGAAAGTGGAATTGTCTTCCAGTAGGATGACAGTGAAGGTTACTCTTATATTCTTTCTGGGGTCCTTTGGCCACTATTTTTTGAAGTGAGCCATTGGACTTCACCTTGTCTCTTGCTCTTGCTGCAGCTGCATTTTCTCTCTTGATGGTAGTCTTGATCAAGATCCCTTTTACAATAACACAAGCCTAGCATGTTCTTAAATCTAGTCCTTGGGAAATTCATGCTTTTGCTTTGTCATTGTAAAACACATAGATCGCTGTATCCTTGTTCAGTAAGCTACAACATACTCGTATCTCCTGAAATCCTGCGCTTAAATCAAGGTCTCAAAGGCTTTGTTTTGTTTTGTTGTATGGTTATATGGGTGAGTTTGTGTGTGTGTGTGTGTGTGTGTGTGTGTGTGTGTGTGTGTGTTCTCCTGAAATTCCCCTCCTCACTTGACTTAAGCTAAAAGATAAACGCCTTCTTCCTTTCAGCCACAGATGGTGATGGATAAATGGAATGCCATTCACACTGTTCCCTTAAAATAAACTCTCTCCCTCCCCTCTCCCCTCTCATCCTTGTCCCTTTTTTTATATAATGGGTAATGCATTAATGTCAGCAGAATAGTTCTGGGGCCATCATTTGGCAAGTACCACGTGGATGGTTTAGCAATTGTTTTTAGAATGCTGTGAATTTGGGTATATGTGAGTTTTTGGGAAAGTTTTGCAACTATGTGTTTGTTAATTAAATGAGGACTATAATGTATGTAACATAAAATTGTTTCTGGAACATATTTTGGAAGCTATAAAGTCATCTGTATTTATTATCCACAGACATAATGTCATTGTTCAGGTCCTGCAACCTTCTTATAATCAACATACATGGGCCCAGGGATTTTATGTGTCTTCGCCTTCCTAGTTTCCGTGGACAATCATTCCTCATACAAAAAGAAGGAATTACCCATGATTTAAGATCTTTTCAAAGTGATCCCCAATAATGACATCTGCCTTATTTTAGCTTGGAAATATCAAAGCAACAAAGATACAGACCTCTGCACAATTGGCTGCATGTTTTGAAAGATCATGTTCCACAGGCTAGTAATACATCTCTACAGGCTGAATTATGGAGAGGAGGTGGGAAAACGAAATGAAACTGAGATGATAAGTAGAATAGTAAAAAAAAACAAAAAGTAGTAAATTTCATAAGGCAGGCACAAATGCTAAAGAGCTTGAGTTTCTTATAAGAAATAGCACTGGAGCAACAACAGGAGGGAAAATATGTACCTTATATGCAAAAATATCTTCTTCCTGGATTTGAGAAACTAATAAAATTTTAATAGATTTTAAATGCAAAATCTTATTACCAAGTGTGTTTTTCATCATACCCATTATTATTAAAATTTTATATAAAAGTGAGAAATGCCAGCTATTGAAATGTAAGCGTAATGTTTTTCAATTAAAATCTGTAATTCTTCCACCTAAGGTGCTGTTTTACAATGCCTTTTTTCTTTCAAAATCTCTCTCACTCAGTAACTGGCTTATTTCTAAGACACTAAACACAATGATAAGGAGAGAATAATTGTTCTATGCCTAATTTTCTTTGAAAATTATGATGAATTTCAATAGAAGCTATTGTAAAATTGACTGATATGTTTGAGGATATTGAAGTATATGTAATACTTTAATATGAATTATTTTGACATGTCACTTATTGGTAGTTATTCAAACCTGGCATTTTCTGCTCTCAAATAAAACTGAGGCATATGGATTAATTTGAACTGCAGCTAATATGTAATTCATAAAAAAACTGTTCTGACTCAAAAGCCAATTAATGCATTTGCCTTACATGTATCACTATTGAAAGACAAATGCAGCACTCTTCATGACGTTTTAATAGATTCTAAATTCCCAACATACACTAAGGTTAGAAATTTCTCAAAATAGTGATTCTCAGTATAAATGCTACATATTGTTTCACTGTGCTTGCTTTGCATTAATATTTCTAAATCCTTAAAAGCAAAGGCAAATTAGCAGTAGCATAGGATTTAGGGCCTTAGATATTTAAGGTTTCCCATACTTAGATTGAAAGAAGTAATATATTTTTTCACAATGCAAATTATTTTTATCATTTTAGACTATGTCTTAGATTTTTATACATATTAGTATGTTAACATATAATTTAAAAGATATTCTAAGGTAGGAAAATTGTATGGGCAAGACTATAAGAAATGTATAATAGTTAATGAGGTCCCTCAGGGCTAAAAAAATCAAAAAGCCATTGGCACCCAGGGGCCTAAAGGGACAAAGAGAGAGACTGATTAGTAGCACACACAGAAAATAGCCATAGTCAGAGCTGCTTGACAGGGGCTGCAACATTCAGTGGATGGATGTGGAGAATAAGTGGTAATTCAGCAGAGAGAGCAAGGGGGAGAAATGTTCAAACTTATTGTCTATTTGCAGAAGACATTGTCTTATATATTGATATGGTTTGCCTGTGTCTCCACCAAAATCTCATCTTGAATTGTAGCTCCCATAATTCCCACATGTTGTGGGAGGAACCCCAGTGGGAGATAATTGAATCATGAGGGCAGTTTCCTCCACACTGTTTTCATGGTATTGAATAAGTCTCACGAGATCTGATGGTTTTATAAGGGGAAACCCCTTTCCCTTGGCTCTCATTCCCTCTTTGCCTGTTGCCATGTGAGATGTGCCTTTCACCTTCTGCCATAATTGTGAGGCCTTCCAAACCACGTGGAACTGTGAGTCCACTGAATCTTTTTCTTTGTAAATTACCCAGTCTCAGGTATATCTTTATCAGCAGCATGAAAACGAACTAATATAGTAAATTGGTACTGAGGTAGTGGGGCACTGCTATAAAGATACCCTAAAACGTGGGAGCAACTTTGGAACTGGGTAACAGGCAGAAGCTGAAACAGTTTGAAGGGATCGGGCTCAGAAGAAGACAGGAAGATGTGAGAAATTTTGGAACTTCCTAGAGACTTGTTGAACGGCTTTGACCTAAATGCTGACAATGATATGGACAATGAAATCCAGGTGGAAGTGGTCTCAGATGGAGATGAGGAACTTGTTGGAAACCGGAATAAAGGTGACTCTTGCTATGTTTTGTTTGTTTGTTTGTTTGTTTTTGAGACGGAGTACTCAGGCTGGAGTGCAGTGGCAGGATCTTAGCTCACTGCAAGCTCCGCCTCCCGGGTTCACGCCATTCTCCTGCCTCAGCCTCCCGAGTAGCTGGGATTACAGGCACCCGCCACCACACCTGGCTAATTTTTTATATTTTTAGTAGAGACGGGTTTTCACCATGCTAGCCAGGATGGTCTTGATCTCCTGACCTTGTGATCCGCCTGCCTTGGCCTCCCAAAGTGCTGGGATTACAGGCTTGAGCCACCGCACCCGGCCGGACTCTTGCTATGTTTTAGCAAAGAGACTGGTGGCATTTCACCCTTGCCCTAGAGATTTGTGGAATTGTGAACTTGAGGGAGATGATTTAAGGTATGTAGCAGAACAAATTTCTAAGCAGCAAAGCATTCAAGAGGTGACTGGGTGCTGTTAAAAGCATTCAGTTTTAAAAGGAAAACAGAGAAAAGTTCAGAAAATTTGCAGCCTGAGGTGATAGAAAAGAAAAACCCAGTTTCTGAGGAGAAATTCAAGCTGGCTGCCGAAATTTGCATAAGTAACAAAGAGCCAGATGTTAATAGCCAAAACAATGGGGAAAATGTCTCCAGGGTACATCAGAGACCTTTATGGCAGCCCCTCCCATCACAGGCCCAGAGACTTAGGAGAAAAAAAAATGGTTTCATGGGCTGGACTCAGGGCCCCCTTGCTGTGTGCAGCCTAGGGACTTGGTGTCCTACATCCTAGCCTCTCTAGCCATGGCTAAGAGGGGCCAAGGTACAGCTTGGGCCATGGCTTCAGAGGGTCCAAGCCCCAACCCTTGGCAGCTTCCATGTGGCATTGAGCCTGCAGGTATACAGAAGTGAAGAATTGAGGTGTGGGAAGCTCCGCCTAGATTTCAGAAGATGTATGGAAATGCCTGGATGTCCAGGTGGAAGTTTGCTACAGGGGCAGGGCCCTCATGGAGAATCTCTGCTACGGCAGTGTGGAAGGGAAATGTGGGGTTGGAGCCCCCACACAGTGTCCTCACCGGGGCATTGCCTAGCAGGGGAGCCTACTTCTTGCATCAGTGTAATCTGGATGTGAGACATGGAGTCAAAGGAGATCATTTTGGAGCTTTAAGATTTGACTACCCTGCTGGATTTTGGACTTGCATGGGTTTTTTTATCCCTTTTTTTGGCCAGTTTCTCCCATTTGGAATGGCTGTATTTATCCAATGCCTGTACCCCCATTTTATCTAGGAAGTAACTAATTTGGTTTTGATTTTACAGGCTCATAGGCAGAAGGGACTTGCCTTGTCTCAGATGAAACTTTGAACTGTGGACTTTTAAGTTATTGCTGAAATGAGTTAAGACTTTGGGGGACTGTTGGGAAGGCATGATTGTTTTTGAAATGTAAGGATATGAGATTTGGGAGGGGCCAGGGCCCCTGCAATGATATGGTTTGTCTGTGTCCCCACCCAAACCTCATCTTGAACTGTAGCTCCCAAAATTCACACGTGTTGTGGGAGGGACCCAGTGGGAGATAATTGAATCATGGGGGGCAGTTTCCTCCATATTGTTCTCATGGTAGTGAGTAAGTCTCACAAGATCTGATGGTTTCATAAGGGAAACCCCTTCCACTTGGTTCTCATTCCCTCTTTGCCTGCCGCCACGTGGGATGTCTTTCACCTTCCACCATAATTATGAGGTCTTCCTAACCACGTGGAACTGTGAGTCCATTGAACCTCTTTTTCTTTGTAAATCACCCATTCTTAGGTATGTCTTTATCAGTAGCATGAGAACATACTAATATGTATATAGATTATACTAAAGAATCCACAAATGTTATTAAAACTAAGAAATTAGTTCAACAAGATTGCAGGACACAAGATCAATATGTCCATGAACTAAGGCATTTGCATTATTAAGAAAATATTAGTATATAGAATGTATTAGTACTTTCCAATTTTATTTACATATTTGAAGTAATCCCTGTCAAAATCTCAGATGGTTTCTTTACAGAAATTGACAAGCTAATCCTTAATTTTATATGAAAATTTGAGGGATCCAGAATAGCCAAAATGATCTGGAAAAAGAACAAATTTGGTAGAATCACTATTCCTGATTTCAAAACTTACCACAACACTACAATAATTAGACAATGCTGTACTTATTTAATGGCATATATTTGAGAATCCAGATATAAAACTTCACATTTATGGTCAATTAATTTTCAACATAGGTGCTGCAACAATTCAACAGGGGAAAGAATAGTGTTTTCAGCAAGGCTAGGACAACTGAAAATCCACGTGCAAAAGAACGAAATTGGACAACTGTTTTACACTGTACACAAAAATTAACTCAATATAGATCAGAGACTTAAATGTAACAACTAATCCTATCGCATTACAAGAGGAAATGGGTGCACAATTTTTGTGATCTAGAATTGAGCAGTTGCTACTATTCTCACCCCAGAATAACTTAACATCCACAAATTATTTAAAATGTGAGTATTTTTAACAACAAAAAGCACTGCTTTGTTCTATCAACAAATGTCACTTATGTTTGTAATTTGTGACACTTATTCATATAATCCTGTAGCTATATATTTTGAACATGTTTAATATTAGTTCATTTAATTATGATAATTCTGAAAACTATTTCAGATATAATAAGGATAGAGGTATTCATTGCTATTGTGTGGTTGACTTTCTTTTTGTCTTGTTTCAACAACTGCATATGTAAAGACTTTAAAGAAATTTATAAATGAATGTTGTGGACTTAGTAAGAAATCAGAAAAGTGAACAAATTAGCTATTAAAATGGTCCTGTTATCTAAGTTGGAATACATTCCTTCATTATGAAGGCTCTTAAGTGCTATCATTTTAAACTCATTTACATGACCTCTTCTTCCTTTTCAGTGACAGCTAAAATCCACTTAAATTTAATCTCCACTTGTGACTCTTTCTGAATCCATTGGAAGAGCTCCGCATCATTTCCTGTACCAGCGAACAAGATGAACAAGCTGCATCTGATCCATGAATCTCAATTTCTGGGACACATGCCCCCACCCAGTCTAAAGGCCCATGAGAAAAGACGGGGTCTTGAAATTGATCAATGACACTGGAAAGAGAAACATTCTCTTTCTCAAATTGGTTATGCTGTTTCTTTTTTCCCCTTCTATCAATGAATTATTCATTTTTCAGAGGTCATTTCTGCTAGTTCCATTTCTACACATTTGCATGCACACACACAAATTTATTATATAATTTTCTGCTTAAAGATTACTTAGGTTCTTGCTGTGTTTTGCTATCAGTGAATAATACTTTGATTCACACACGGAAGTTCATGTTTTTACACGTTTAAGAATCATTATAGAATAACATGCTAGAAGTATAAATTTGGGGGCAAAGAACAAATCTGACATTAATTTTAATGAGTAATGCTAAATTATCCCTTTTCCAGGAGAAGCTTTAACAATCTACAATTCCACGATAACTTCAAAGAGTGTGAATTTTTCTATGGCCTAGACAATACTGGGTATTAGGTCGTTCAGTGTTGTCAATGTAATGAATAAAAAAAAGTTATAATGTTGCATTAATTTTCATGAGTGTTTGATTTGGAATATGTTTACATATTTGATAGGTCATTCATTTGTTTTCTTCATATATTTTATCTCTATTTGTTTTGCATTGAGTATTTTTTATATACTGGTGATGTTTATATATTATCTCACATATTTTACAAAGCTTTTAGCTCTGTATATCTTTCTGACATTTAGTAAGACATTAATACATGTATTTATAAAGCTATATTTCCGGTGTATGTTATGGATTTTATGTTGTTCTAATATTTTTTCAGTTTATTATCTTTAATTATCTTGAAATGTATTACAATTTCTTGAATTTTCTATATTAGTAGTTCTCATATTTTAGGGTGCATAGGAATTACCCAGGATGCTTATTACAGCAAAAATCACTGGGTACAGCAGGTCTGTGATAGAGCCTGAGACAATGCATTTTTTTTTTTTTTTTTTTTGAGACAGAGTCTTGCTCTGTCGCCCAGGCCGGAGTGCAGTGGTGCGATCTCGGTCACTGCAAGCTCCGCCTCCCAGGTTCACGCCATTCTCCCGCCTCAGCCTCCCGAGTAGCTGGGATTACAGGCGCCCGCCACCACACCCGGCTAATATTTTTTTGAATTTTTAGTAGAGACGGGGTTTCACTGTGTTAGCCAGGATGGTCTCAATCTCCTGACCTTGTGATCCGCCCACCTCGGCCTCCCAAAGTGCTGGGATTACAGGCGTGAGCCACTGGACAATGCATTTCTAATAAGTCTAGAACCTGCAGCTGCTGCTGGTTTAGGGCCACACTTTGAAAACCATATTTTCGTATAGTAATTATTTAATCTACAAATATTGAGTGTCATCTTCAGAGTTAGCTAGGATTATAGTATTTTATAGAAAAATATAAAGGAATGATAGCAGGTATCCCTGTTTTATTATTCATTATAATAAAAATTTTTCCACTATTTTATTATGTATTATTGCAGTAGGGCTCCAATGGTGTGAATCTTTCTCCTTTGCTAAGTATATTAAAATGTTTGTTTTTGTCTCTCTTAAGTATGTTTATAGTAGGTTTCTACCTGTGGCTTATAGTAATAGAGTTAAAATTTCTTATTTTTTAGTTTAAGTGGTTTTTTTTTTATTGGCAATGAATGCAACATTTTATCAAATTGTTTTGAAATTTAATAATACGATTGCCTTATTTTTTCAATCTTTTCATGTGATGAAGTATATCAATAGATTTAATAATGTTGAGACATACTTGTATAATGGAAGTAATCTTACTCAGTTGTGATACTCAATATTATTCTGGTGTTTAATGTATATTTGATTCTGTTTAGTTCAAAACTGCAAAGAATCTGAGATGTTACTTTGCAAGATCAAAAATTAGTATGCGAGAGCTATATACGTACATATATATAGCTCTCATTACTTGAGAATCTGTAATTTTAATATGTGTATTAAAATGTATGATTTAAATTCCCCATGGACACACTGCATCCTTGGCTTTTACAGAGATGTTAAAAATGAATTAATCTTATGACATTCACCATAGTGTTATTCAAGCCAGCATAAACAAAACTTCCCAAGAAAAAATATCTTCCTGCTAGAAAAAGAGGTCTCTGTTTCCTTTTATCAAAATATTTGAGCCTTGTTGAATATAATACATGTTGTATATTGAAATGAACTCTATTGTATAGTTTTGTTCATCTTGGACATCTTGTACATGTAGTTTTTTATAGTTATAAATTCACGCAGTTATAAATTCAGCAAACTAATGCAAGAACAGAAAACAAAATATCACAAGTTCTCAATTATAACTGGGAGCTAAATTATGAGAACACATAGACATATAGAGGGGAACAACAAACACTGGAGCCTATCAGAGGGTGGAGGGTTGGATGAGGGAGAGGATCAGGAAAAACAACTAATGGGTACAAGGCTAAATACCTGTATGACAAAATAATCTGTACAACAAACTCCCATAACATGAGTTTACCTATATAATAAATCTGCATATGTACCCCTGAACTTAAAATAAAAGTTAAAAAATAAAAATAAAGGACCAAAAACCATCTTAAAGCAGGCACAATATATAAGCATTCCATATGGAAAATCCCAATATACATTATAAATATTTTCCTCCTTCAATAATAATGAATAAAATACAAATTTAAACAACATTGTGATGCCATTTCTCATCTATAAAAATAGAAAAAAAACCTCAAAAGTTTAACAACATACCCTGTGGGTAAAATTATACCGAAATAGACATTTTTGCACATGGTTGGTGAGAATATGAAATAACAAAATCTTTGTGAAGGGGACTATGACACCATCTTGAAAAACTGCATATACATTTATGCCTTTACCTGACATTACCATGAAATATATCCCATATACAACCTGTTAATAATTCACAGTGACATATCATCAAGAATATTTATCATGATTTCATTTGTAAACATAAAACATTGGAAATAATTCAAAGGTCCATCAGCAGTGGACTTCTTAAATATTCTCTGCTACATGGAGGAATATAAAAACAAATGAGGCAGAATTTCTTGATACAAATATGCAGTAACCTCCAGGATATATTCTTAGGTAATATAAAAGAACCAAGATGGAAATATCATTTCTGTTATAATAAGTCTCAATAATTTGAGACACAGGATCTTGTGGGCCCTAACTAAATAATCTGGTCTCCTATCTTTTACGTAAACGTCCGTTTATGTTTCTCAAGAGAAACATATGTTTTGAATTGAGTCCATGTACTGTAGAGCAGACACCTTGAAATTGCAATATATTGCAACATTTTACTGGATTTCCCTCCATCACATTTTCCCTATTTCCATTTTCTAACTTTCTGTGTTTTCCTCATAAGTAACCAGCCCACACCTAAGACCTTATCTCAGCCTCTACTTTTGATGGCACCCAAGTGAAGACACCAAACAATAACAAAAATCCCATAAGTTCTGGTACATTTCTCCATGGTAGCTACTATATTTAAGTGCACAGTAAATAATTCATTGATCAGGGATGCTTCTAAATCATTTCAAATCTGTGATAGTCCTCAATGGGACCAAAACATATGATTTGGTAAGATCAAAAGTGTCACTACTATAGATTTTTGCGTGAAACAAGCCTTAATATTCTTATTTTACATTCCAATTTTGTCTTACCTTCACAGAAGATTATTAAATGTTGTAATAGTAAAACTCCCAATGTACTAGCAGATATCATTTGCATTTTTTAAATGTAAATAATAATTGGCCGAAGATTTTGAATGACATATGAGCAGATACATCTGGATGAAATTTAAACTAGTTATTTTTCAGCTTACTATTTGATTTTAGTGTGCTTCTTTTTTCAATGTTGGTTTACAACTTAATTTTGGCCCTCAGTAATTTATACAATAAACTCAGGCACAAGGAATTAGGCAATAATGCAAAGTATATACAATATGCAATAATGTACTGGGACATAATCTTAAAAAGAAATTAGCTTCCCCAATTTACAGATGAAAATCCGTGATCTAGAACATATGTCATGCCTACAATCATGTAGTTGGTATCTGAATAAAGACTCAATTTATGTCTTTCAAAAAAACTCCAAACTCTTTTCATTATAATTAAATTTCCAAAAATGTTAACTACATAATAATTTGCATATAATATTGCTTGTTTATTGAAAAAAATATGAGCAGAGTTTAGCATAAGATGACTGCATTTGAGGATTTTTTTTTACAAATGATTATTTTTCTCCTGATTCATAAAGTTTGTTCTCATTTACCTCATTTCTTCTTAATCACTTTAACTACAGAAATGCTTCTTTTATTAAAAAAGTTTTTGATAATCTTTATTCACTTTTTCTGTGTTAGTGTTAGCAGGAATTAACTGTATATTTCTTACCTTGGAAATTAATCAAATTTTTAGTCTGGACTATTGGTAGATTTCATTTCTCATAATGAGATGTAACCAGAGATTCAGTATTGTGTACCATCAAATAGGGATTTTATTTATTCATCATTTTCATTACGAGTAATCTTCATGCTCAATATTTTAGTCATCTGACTAAATACCAAAATTATACTGTACAATGTCCTGAAAATGAGGTTAGTCTATGTATAAATCAAGTGAAATGATTTTCTCTCATCTCAACTGAATTTGTGAAATAATAAATAATGTAAGAGGGAAAAGATTGGCTGCTGAAAATCAATTCCGCTATCTAAAGTATATCAGTAAGTTGATAATATGGAGAAACTGTAATAAGGCAAGTCATCGCAGAAGTGGGAAAAAAACTGCAGTAAGTTGCAAGTTAGAATTTTATTTTATATAATATTACCACATCACATTTGGTCAAAAGATCATGATCCAAGTCAAACTTTCTAAAGTAAGTTGTGGATCTCCAGGAAGCATTGTTATAAATAAACTTATCAAGTAAGATTTGAGGAGTCTTTAAAGATTCAGCATAAACCCTCTTTAATTTTGTGTCTGAGTAGCACCTCAAATTATAATTTTATGACATTTTTATTACAGTGACTCAAATAAAAAATAAAATACATCATAATATTCTCAATGAAAAAGTGCTTTCATTATGTGATATTATCAAAATAAGAGAAAAAAATCAGTATTTTGTCTCAAGGCAAAAATCTATGTTGTTTAACTTTTAAATTTCTATCTATGACAATGGCTCTTCTCAAGATTAAGTGTAAAAATAGATAAAAATGTCTCAACAGGATATCAAAATTACCTACATTTAGTAGAGTTAAAACTTTCAATGCCAAAGTCAAAGGCGGATTACATTCAGTTTATATCAAAATTCTTATGTTTGTTCTGGCAAGGGCATAGATGCTTTTGTTTTGTTTTGTTTTAAAATCATATGTATGAATTTGAACCTTAGTTCACCTGTTTATGGTAAATGAAACTGGCTGCATAATTTGTGAGACACAGTGCAAAATGAACATGCAATGCCCCTTGTTGAAATAGTGTTAAAAATTTCACGATGACAACAGCAAAGCAGTAACCATTTGTGGAGCCCTTTTCAGCATGAAGCCCCATGAGACCACACAGGTTTCACACTTATGAATCAGTCCTAATTGTGTAATTTGTGGTACATTATTTAACTTTTGTAGATTTAGTTTAGTGTTGTATATTTAAGACAGTTGATAAGATGAATTTATCGAGATGCTATGAAGAAAAATGGATTCCATGTAAATCACCTGGGCCACATGTGGCCTATGTGCTATGGTTTGCACAAGCTTGATATAATACATGACTTTTGTGTCTGGCTTCTCTCACTTAGCATAATGTTTTTGTCCAAAGTGTTGTATGTATCAGTAGACCTTCCTTTTTTTTACTGGATTTACATGATTTATTAATAATCTGTGATATGATTCTTAATAATCTACGATATTAAATCATCAGTACATTTTACTTCTACTAGGTTGATTCCAGTTTGTGGCTATTACAAATAGTATTCTGTTAACATTCACGTGTGTGTGTGTGTGTGTGTGTGTGTATATATGTAAATGTGTGTATTGGTAAATATGTAATTCATTTCCCTTAGGTATATAGAGAATCTAAGAGTAGAACTGCTAGGGCAGAGTATATGCATCTATTGATAAACATATATTACCAAAGAATTTTCCAATGTAATAATATCAATTTACATTCCCGTCAACATTGTATGAGAGTTCAAGTTGCTCCAGATCGTCATCAGTTTTGTTATTATTTATCTTTTGAAAAATGAGTTAGTCATTCTAGCAAAAGCACGGAGATATCTAATTGTGGTTTAAATTTGTATTCTCAGGATATCTCACAGAGTAGAACGTACTTTCATATGTTGATTAGCCAACTGAATATTCTTTTTTTGTGAGGTTTCTGATAAATTCTTTTTGACAATTTTTTTACTTTGATGTCTTTGTCTTACTAATTTCAAAGTTTGGTACATATTCTAGATGTGAATTTCTCTTTTTTTTTCAGCCTGAGAGCAAACTTTTAAACAAAATTTATTAATTAATTAATTTATTTATTATTTTATTTTATTTTTTTAAGATGGAGTCTTGCTCTGTCGCCCAGGCTGGAGTGCAGTGGCGTGATCTCGGCTCACTGCAAGCTCGACCTCCCGGGTTCAGGCCATTCTCCTGCCTCAGCCTCCTGAGTCCTGAGTAGCTGGGACTACAGGCGCCCGCCACCATGCCCAGCTAATTTTTTTTGTGTTTTTAATTGACACATTGTATATGCACTTATGTATGAAGTACAGTTTTAAATTTTGACGCATATCTATGTTGTATAATAATCTAATTAGAGTAGTTACTGTATCCATCACCTCACGCATGCATCATTTCTTTGTGGTAAAAACATTTAAAAACCCCTCTTCTAACTATTTTGTAATAAACAATATTTTACTGTTAACCATAGTTACCCTACTGTGCAAAAGATTATGAGAAATTATTCTTTCTATCTAATTGTAACTCTGTTCCCACTGACCAACGTCTCCCCATCCTTACATCTCCACTCCCCTCTCCAGTATCTGGTAATCACTGTTCTACTCTCTACTTCTATGATACATATTTAGATTCCACGTCGTGAAATCATGCAGGATTTGTCTTTCTGTTCCTGGCTGATTTCATTTAACAGACATTTCTCCAAGTTCCAAGTTCATCTATTTGTCACAAAGACAGGATTTCCTTCTTTTTTATAACTGAATAATATTCCATTATATGTGTGTGTGTTTGACTGTGTGTGTTTTTGTGTGTGTATACACACAATACGTTTATTTTTTATGAATTCATTAATTGTTGGTCACTTAGGTTGATTTTTATCTTTGCTATTCTAAATTGTGCTGCAGTAAACATGTGACTGCAGATATCTATTCAACATACTTATTTTACTTCCTCTAGATATATACCCATGGTAGAATTGCTTTTAATTTTTTGAGGAACCTTCATATTTCCAAAATGGTTGTGCTGGTTTAGAATCCCACCAGTAGTATGTAAATATTCCCTTTTCTCCTTATTCTTACCAACACTTGTTTTATTTTGTCTTTTTGGTAATAGCCATTCTAAAGAGAATAAGGTGGTAACTCATTGTGGTTTTGATTTGTATTTCTCTGATGACTAGAGATATTGAACATTATTAAATATACCTGCTGGCTATTTATAATCTTCATTTGATAATGGCTATTAAAATCTATTGCTTATTTTTAATTGGTTTATTTTTTTCCGTTGAGTCAATTCCTTATATAGTCTGGATATTAATCACTTGTCAGATGTGTAGTTTACAAATATATTATCCAATTCTGTAGTTTGTATATTCACTCTGTTAATAGTTTCCTTTGCTGTGTGAAAGCTTTTTAGTTTGATTTAATCTTGTCTATTTTTGCTTTTGCAACCTGTGCTTTTGAGGTATTATTTTTAAAATCTTTCCTCAGCCCAACGTCCTGAAGCATTTCCCCAGTTTTCTTGTAGTTTAATAGTTTCAGGTTTTACATTTAAATATTTCACATATTTTGAGTTGATTTTCATACATGGTGAAAGTTAGAGGTCTAGTGTCATTCTTTGACGTATGGATATCAAATTTTCCCAGCCCTGGCTTTTTGCCCCCGCCGCCGCGGCTTTTTGCCGCCGCCGCCGCCGCCGCCGCCGCCGCCGCCGCGCCTTTTGCGGCTTTTTGCTCCCCGCCGCCGCGGCTTTTTGCTTTACTTGTGTATCTAAACATAGAAAAGGTACAGTAAAAATATAATATAAAAGGTAAAATAAGGCCAGGCATGGTGGCTCACACCAGTAATCCCAGCATTTCGGGAGGCTGAGGCGGGCAGATCACCTGAGGTCAGGAGTTCGAGACCCGCTATGGCGAAACCCCATCTCTACTAAAAATACAAATATTAGCCGGGAGTGGTGGTGCGCCCCTGTAATCCCAGCTGCTTGGGAGGCTGAGACAGGTTTGTGTTTGATTAAAAACATTTTTACAGGAAAAAAATGTATGTATTATTTTAAATTGTTTTAATAATTTGAACTTTTATTTTAGATTTAGGGGACACATGTGCTGGTTTGTTACCTTGGTATATTGTGTGACGCTGAGGTTTGGGGTATGATTGATCCTGTCACCAAGGTACTGAGCATAGTACCCAATAGGCAGTTTTTCCACCCCTGCCTCCTTCTCTTCCTCCCCCATCAAGTAGTTCCCAGTGTCTATTGGTCCCTTCTTTATATCCACGTGTAGCCAGTGTTTAGCTCCCATTTATACCTGAAAACATGTGGTATTTGATTTTCTGATCCTGCATTAATTCACTTAGGATAATGGCCTCCAGCTGTATCCATGGAAAGGGCATGATTTCCATATTTATGGCTGTGTAGTAGTCCATGGTGTATATGTACCATATTTTCTTTATCCAGTTTACCAATGATGGGCACCTAGGTTGATTCCACAGCTTTGCTATTGTGAATAGTGCTGCAATAAATATATGAATGCATGTGTCTTTTTGATGGACAAATCCCAGTAATGGGATAGCTGGGTGAAGTTGTAAATCTGTTCTAAGTCCTTTGAGAAATCTCCAGATTGCTTTGCAGAGTGGCTGAACTAATTTACATTCCCATCAACAGTGCATAAGTGTTCCCTTTTCTCTGCAGCCTTGCCTGCATCTGTTGCTTTTTGACTTTTTAGTAATAGCTTTGCTGACTGGTGTGAGATGGTATCTCATTGTGCTTTTTATTTGCATTTCTCTGGTTAGTGATGTTGAGTATTTTTTCATATGTTTCTTGGCCACTTGTATTTCTTTCTTTTGAGAAGGGTCTGTTCATGTGTTTTGCCCACTTTTTAATGGGGTTGTTTTTTGCTTATAGTATTATTTAAGTTTCTTATACATTCTGAATATTAGACCTTTGTTGGGTGCGTAGTTTGCAAATAAGGAAAATGTCTTTTAAAACATGAGTTGTTCAAAAGAATACACAGTGAAAAATTCATCTTTCTTCCACTCCCGAACTGCCACCTTCCCAGTGGAAACCACTGTTATCCATGATAGTGGGTTGAATGTGTCCCCCAAATACATGTGTTCAATCCTAACCCCTGGTACCTGTGAATGTTTCCTTATTTGGAAATCAGACTTTATAGATGTAATTAACCTAAGGATCTCATGATGAGATTATGCTGGGTTTAGGGAGGGCCCTGCATCCAATGACTGGTATTTTAAGAGAAAGGTTTAAGAAAGAGAGCGATTTAAGACACTGAGAGTCCTAGGGAAGAAAGCCACATAATGATGGAAGCACAGATTGCAGTTGTGCTGACACAAGCTAAGGAGTGCCAGGAGCCAACAGAAGCTGGAAAAGGAAAGGAAGGTTTCTCCTCTAGAGCCATGGCAAGAGTACAACCTGCGGACCCTAGATTTCAGAAGTCCTGCTTCCAGAATGGCAAGAGAATAAATTTTTCTTATTTGAAACCACCACATGTGTAGTAATTTGTTACAGCAGCCTTAGAATTCCAATATATCCATTTATTGCATATCTTTTCAGAGATAATCTACTTTAATAAAAATATTTTAAATGTACTTTTAAACCCATTTTTAAAAATTAATGAAGTACCTATGTTTTTTTAAATTATATATAATTTAAAAGGGTACCTTAATCTTTTTAGCTTCTGGGATCTCTAACATCCTAACCCAGCCCTAATCTTGGGATAAACACCACATCGGTGCACAAACGTCTACTCTCTTTATTTTTCTGGGTTCAGATCATTTCATTCTATAGATGTTCCACAATGTTCTTAACTAATTTCCTATTGATTGGTGTGTAGGCTGTTCTCTGTCCTTTGCTATTGCAGTCAAAGTTGTAATGACTCTCTTTATCCATGCTCTCTGCAAATGTGAGTGTGTCTGTTTCATAAATTCCTAAAAGTGGAATTTTGAGATAAAAGGCACACAAATGTTTTATGTTAATACTGTCAACCCACCAGCAATGCTGGAGGAATCTGTCAGAATAGGCTAGGTTCTGCTTCTACCACATACACACCCCAAAACTCAACATGACAGAGGTTTATTTCTCTCAAACACAACATGTCCCCTGAAGACTTCGTTTCACTACATGATTGTCCTTACCCCAGAACCAGACTGATGAAGCAACCAGGACTCACAGGCGGCTTCCCCCACTTCTGCTCACACTTTCTCCTCCAAAGCAAGATGCAGGACTGTACATAATTTCACAGGTGGGAAGACGCAGTTGCACCAAGTGCCAAGAGGAGAAAAAAGGGAATATCTGAATACCACTAGTGACTACCCATTCATGGCCACACCCAGGGCCACACACAAAGTTGACAAACATTTTAATCTTGTCTTACATTAAGAAATTATCTGCATTTGTTTGTCTTTGAACTGTCTCTTCATTTTTCCAGTCTGGCTGTGGGCTTTCTGTTGGGTGATTTGCAGTAGGTTTTAACATACAGTGCGAACATTAGCCTGTCATCTCTTATGTATGTTGCAGAACTTTTTTGAGTTTGTTGACAGATCTTTGACTTTGTGGGTTTTTTTATAGAAAGTTTTAATTTTCATGGAGTCAAATTTATCAGCCATGGATGACTTCTGGGTTTGGGGCTGTGCTTAGAAAGCTGCATGTGAGTCCCTGCTTGTGATTTCCTTCAGCCTCGGTGTGCAGCAATGTTCCGAGTGATGGTGGCTTCATCAGTCTGGTTCTGGGGTGCAATTTGTGTCAGTCTGGGGACAGTGGATTTGAAGCCCAACCACCATTTATGTAAATCAATCTTATGGACATGGTGGGTTCCAGCCCAGCTGTAGGGGTCAGTGAAGGGTGGTGTGACAGTGAGCACAGACCCTGGGTGGTGGTGACAGTGGCTGTCATGGGAAGGAAAGGAATGGGAAGGGGTCCTCGTGGAATCAGGAAGACAGGCCTTGGCTGCAGATGGGCCAGCACCCCAGTGGGTATATAGAACACGCATCCTTATCCCAGCTCTGCTATAAATCCACAGTGGAACCTTGGGCAATGACTTTCCCCTTTCTGAGCCTCAGTTTACTCATCAGTAAAATAGTGACAATAACTCCAACTTCACCAAGGAGATGTGAGGCTCAATAAGATGATGGATCTGAAAATGCCTCATGGCACAACGGAGAGGGATTCCTGACATGTGACAAGCATGGGAAGAGAGGAAGGATGGGGTCTGTAAATGGCCAGATGGCAGCCCCACCCCTCCACACACACAAACACCCACCATGTCACCCACACTGGCGATTTGCCCAGGAGGGCCCCAGGCTTGGAATCAGCACTGCCAGGTGGGCAGGCAGGACTGCTGTCCCATTACAGGGGTGAGGAAACTTAGGCTGTGGATGGTCCCACAGGGAATAAGGGGTAGGGTCTAGCTCCCCACGGCAGGCAGGGAAGATTGAAGTTACTCCCTGGGAAGAGGAAGGGAGGCATTGACTGGAACTCTGTGATTTAGATGAGACTCTCAGGCTCAGGCAGGTGACTTGAGTTTACTAATGTAGAAGGTGAAGGAGGCAGAGGAGGCAGAGGAGGCAGAGGGCAGGAGGAAGAAAGAAAGGAAGAGAGCAGCAAACTGGAGTCACTACAGGACACTAGCTGCTCCAGGCTGGGCTGTCCCATCCTAAGAGAAAGGGAAAAGGCGGAGAGAGCATCACAGATCACATCCAGATTCCTCACTGGCATAGATGCTGCTATGGAAACATCCCTGATGGTCCAGGTTTGTGGTGGGAGAGATTGCAATGCTCTGCTTCCTGGAAATCTGTGTTCACAGCCAACACAGGTGCTGCCCTTGGAAGTGGATGGGGATGATGGCCCCTGTGGGGTGGGTGGCCCAGAACACAGCAGCTCTTCACAGTCTCATCAGCAGCAGCAGAGAGCCCCCTGTCACCTGAGGGCCTCAGGGAGAGGCAGGGGAGCCAGGCTTCTCACCTGCCTTCTGCCTTCCAGCTTCCTGGAGATGATGGAGGCTCACAGTCATGGCCATGCGTCCCCACTGGCGGCCAAGGGGCAGAGTCCATCCTCAGGCTCCCAGTCACCAGTGGTGCCTCCAGGCGCCGTGTCCACAGGGAGCTCTAGCCCCGGCACACCCCAGCCTGCCCCACAGCTGCCCCTCAATGCTGCCCCACCATCCTCTGTGACCCCTGTACCACCCTCAGAGGCCCTGCCCCCACCTGCGTGCCCCTCAGCCCCCGCCCCACGGCGTAGCATCATCTCTAGGCTGTTTGGGACGTCACCTGCCTCCGAGGCAGCCCCTCCACCTCCAGGTAGGCCCTGGAGCTGCCCCTCCCAAACTGGTCCCAGTCCCCCACGCCTTCACAGGTGGGGCCCTGGATTTCGGAGCGCTCCGCGCTTCTTCCTGCTTGTCCCAGTCCCATGGGCACATCCCGGGTGGGCCCGGCTTGGGGTTGGGTGCAGTGAGGGTTCTGGTGCCGAGTGAAGAGGACCCAGCATCACTGTTCACAGAGCCAGTCCCAGCCGCAGAGGCCCCAGCAACAGTCCAGAGTGTGGAGGACTTTGTTCCCGATGACCGCCTGGACCGCAGCTTCCTGGAAGACACAACCCCCGCCAGGGACGAGAAGAAGGTGGGGGCCAAGGCTGCCCAGCAGGACAGCGACTCGGGGAGGGGTGGGCCTGGGCCTCCTCTCCCATTGCCCCCAGCCTCCAGGGCGCCCAAGCAGCAAGTGGGGCTGGCTTTCTGGGGGCGCAGAAGGGGCCCCCTGCTGGCTGGTCACTGTTGGCTGAGGACAGAGCAGATCTGTGGCTGGAGCAGATGAGGGAAGGGCTTTGACGGGGCTTCCAGACATCAGAAAGGCCTGGCCACCTGCTCTGCCCACACCCTGGAGAGGACAGGGGCACCTTGGGGTCTTCTGTGGGCAGATTCCACATGGAGGCCATTGGCGAGGCCACTCCAGGTCATATGGGAGGTTCAGGCCACCAGATATGGTCTCTGCAGGGCTAGGGCCCAGGTGCTGCAGAGACAGGGGCGGCGTCCTGCAGGTCCTAGAGCTGGGAGCTAGAGCCGCCTCCCCAGCCATCTGCCAGCCCCTCCCACCACTGTCTGCCAAGCTGCCCCAAATTTTGCCTGCAGCAAAGCCCTGCATTTGGTCCCAGGCGTGGACTCCACTGGACAGGCTCCACGCGCAGTGGCCTCAGCACCTCAGCCTCACCCATTGCTGTGGGGCGGTGGCTTCCTCCAGAAATACGCAAAGGATAGAAAGCCCGGTGGCCCTGAGCTGGGCCCACCTCATCCATGAGTGCCCACTTGCACAGCTCCACATCCTTCACCCACTGACTGGCCGCAGGGCAACACTGTGTCCAACCCTGTGCCCCTGACCCCCTCCTGCTCAGAAGCCCTGTGACGGCCATGAGGGGGCCTCTCCACTACAACACAGCACCTGGGGCGTGGTGGCCCCACGGCCAGGGTGTGCTGGGTACCAGGGTGCCTGGAACCAAGGCCTGTGAGCCCGGCCGGTCATCCCTACCCTGTGGCCTCTGACTGCTTTGCCCCCTGCTTCGCAGTGATGGGGAGGCCCTGGGCGGCAACCCGATGGTGGCAGGGTTCCAGGACGATGTGGACCTCAAAGACCAGCCACGTGGGAGTCCCCCGCCGCCCGCGGGCCCTGTCCCCAGTCAAGACATCACTCTTTCAAGTGAGGAGGAAGCAGAAGTGGCGGATCCCCCAAAAGGCCCTGCCCCAGCTCCCCAGCAGTGCTCAGAGCCAGAGACCAAGTGGTAAGGGCAGGTGTCCCCATGGGTGCGGCCTGGAGACTGGGGTGGGGAAGTTCAGGACACCTCCGGAGGACCCTGACTGACCCTGTGCTTGTCCACAAAGGTCCTCCATACCAGCTTCGAAGCCACAGAGGGGGACAGCTCCCATGAGGGCTGCAGCACCCCCCTGACCAGGTGGTGCCTCTGTTGGCACAGGTCTGGAGAAGTGCAGCAGCACCAGGCCCCCTGCTGAGATTGAGCCAGGGAAGGGTGAGCAGGCCTCCTCGTCCGAGAGTGACCCCGAGGGGCCCATCACTGCACAAATGCTGTCCTTCGTCATGGATGACCCCGACTTTGAGAGCGAGGCATCAGACACACAGTGCAGGGCAGTAAGATGAGTCCTCCCGGCGCAGAGGTCAGCCAGGAGGCCAGGGTCCCTCCCGCAGGCCTGATCTGGGTGGGTGCAGTGGGAGGAGGCTTCTGGAAGAGGCATCTAATGTCCCCACACTTGGGCTTTGCCGGCCTGGTTTGAGATCCCACAACCCCTGGGGGTGTGCAGAGGCAAACGCCTCCCCAGGCAGTGACAGGCACGCCCCCCACCCCAGGGCCACTTCTGCCTGCCTTTGCCGCTGCCCGGCGGCTGCCGTGTGCACTTCTGAGCTGGAAGAGGCTGGGCATTGGTGGTCCCCGGGCTGGGCCCTGCAGGTGCTGGGCCTCCAGGCCTGGCATGAGCCTGCTCTGCAAGAAAT
The DNA here is from genome assembly GCF_000001405.40 of Homo sapiens. Taxonomy (NCBI): domain Eukaryota; kingdom Metazoa; phylum Chordata; class Mammalia; order Primates; family Hominidae; genus Homo; species Homo sapiens. Next base: position 15,003,675 of record NC_000018.10, on the reverse strand, counting down.
GAGGGGACAGCTGGCTTCAGCCAGGCTCGGTGGACACCCTGGCCCTCTCGGGGCAAAGCCGCCAGTCACCAGTGTTTCTCAGGGATGTGACTGAGGCCCAGGAGGGACCCGTGAGGGTCTGTTTACAGAGGCTGGGCAGGGGCCGCTTGGCTGTGGGGTGCACACTGCCCCGGCACCTGCTTGCCCTCCACGCTCACCCAGGGCCGCAGCATGCCTATGGCTCCGCTTCCAGCCAGGAGCCCTGAACACCGGTATGCAGACCCACCCTAAAGGGCGGCCCAGGCCCCATGCTAGGCAAGGCTGGCAAGAGACCAAAGGCAGCATGTGAGGCCTCTCCTGGGAGTGGGGGTTGTGTTTCCCACAGTGGCCTCAGCTGCGCCCCCGCTCAGGTGAGCCCACAGGCAGGATCTGGGAGGCACTCCTCCCAAACACTCCACTCAGACCATAAAGCACTCCTGTTTCACTCTGCATGTCTGTTCTTCTCCCTGCACCTCTGCTCCCGCTGCCCCGGCCCAGGCTGCCATGGGTTGGCAGGGAAGTCCTCTGAGGCAGGAGGCTGCCCAGCAGTGGTGTGAGGACGTCCCACCAAGTCTGGCCACACCCTGGGTACATCCCAGCCCACCTGTGCCAGGGCTCAGCAGCTGCACCCAGCACACTTGGGGACCTCAGCCCCAGGAGGTGGAAGTCCACTCTGCAAGGCTCCCAGGCAGCCGCCTGCAGCCCTGCCCCCCCACCCCTGCCTTCAGGCCCCTGCCCACTCCAGCTGTCAGCAGCACCCAGCCTCCACCCCCACAGCTACTGTTGCCATGAGAACCCTGCAGGGCGGGCAGGAAGAGTGTGCCAGTGAAGGGGAGGAGGTGGCCAAGCTGGAGGCTCCTGTGCCTGGGAGCTTTGTGGCCCCAGGGTGTGGGGCAATCACTGCAGTCCCTGAGCAGGTGCTGTGGCCCACAGCAAGCTTAGGAGCCTGGCCCCTTAGCCCACAGCCCATGAGGTCAGGGCCGGGTTCAGGGGTTCTCCTGGTGTGGGGATGGGTCAACAGTATGTGAACTTGCCAGGATCGCACCATGGATGGCTATGTTGGGGTTTCAGTGGGCCCTGCTTTGAGCAGCTCAGAATGGGGTAGGTCCTGCCCTTCAGAGCCAAGGGCATTGGCTCCCCACCCCTCTGCCAAGATAGAACGTTCCCAGGCCCAATGCCTTTGGGAGGGGCTGGCAGAGTGGGACGAGGACATTACCAGGCAGGTATGGTAGGTCACGTGCAGGCCTTCCCAGGCTGGCAGGGACACCGGATGCAGGAGTGGCCTCACCCAGAGAGGATGGCATCTTGGGGACACAAGAGACTTCAGGGGCCATCTGGCCCCAGGAACCCGCCAAGATTTTGGCATTGGCAGCCTTGAAGCCAATAGGGGCTGGGGAGAGGCCAGTGGGGCAGAGAGTAGCCCACCTGCTCCTGCCTCACCCGACAGGAGATGCGAATTCCAAGATGCCCCTGACCAATCTCTGCAGCCCAGGCCAGGGCTTGGGCCCCTCCTCTCAGTCAAGTATGTTGGGGTGACACTGGCGGGACTGGCAGGCTGTTCCGGGCCACAGGACTCCTGCTTAGACACTGAGGTCTGTGTCTTGGGGGTGCTGCAGGGACCCTGTGCTCTGCACAGCCCCAAATTGGAACCAGTGCAGCTCAGGATCCCCAGCTCCACCGTGCAGCCCCCACTGGGTGCGGCCCCTTTAAGTACAGCCCCTTCAGCTGCCATCGGGGGCAACACTGAGCAGCCAGGCCAGGATCCACGCTGCTGCCTGGAAACTTCTGCCGGTGCCGGGGACGCAGCAGTGCCAGGGACACGGAGGAGTCGACCTGGGGGTAGCACAGCCCACCAGGGCACAGCTGGAGCAGCACCCAGGTAAGGGGCTAGGGGCCGAGTTGCTGAGTGTGTCACTGTCATGGGCGGGGGAGGCTGCCTTAGGGCGGCCGAAAGGATGGGGAGTCCCCGTCCCCAGGCAACACCGGCTGTATCCCTTGAAGGGCCGCTCGAGCCAGGGCAGGGCAAGGCAAGGCAGGGCTGGGAGGTGGGGAAGGCCGCCAGCCATCTCCGTGGGCTTCAGAAGGCCTTAGGCCCAGGAGAGGGCCGACCCCACCCCCATCCCCACGGGAGGGGGTGTCACCGACAGCCGCAGCCAGCAAGGCCGACTGTCACCTCCCTGGGGTGGAGCCTCACACCCTGTCATCCAGCCGGATTCTGGCCTGGCCTTGAGCTTAGGGTGAAAGAGGGAGAAAGAGGGTAGACAGTCCTGCCACGGGTGGGGTGGAGGGGGGAGATGGGGTGGGTGGGGGAGGCTGGGATGGGCACAAAGCCCGGGACTCGTGGCCCTGACCCAGAAAAACAGCCCTGCCAGCAGGAAGCCCCTGCACACCTGGGACACAGAGGGGGGACCCGGCCAGACCCTGAGAGGCCTATCCACCTGAGGTTCTGCCCTGCAAGGGGCCTGGCCAGGTACCCGCTTTCCCCAGCTCACTCTGGGGTAGACCCCCCCCAGACCAGGTGTTGGGTGTGCAGAGACCAGGCCTGTGGCCACTCTCTGACTCACCCCCCAGCTGGCTCTGGGACCACAGAGGGGTTGGCAACCCACATCTGAACCCTGGCCAGCCTGCAGCGTGGGGGCCTAAGAAACGCAGGTTTCCATGGAACCTTCTGAGCGAAATGGGGAGGGCCCTCTCCTGCAAAGCAGTGGGGCTTCCCCCACCCTCCGCCCTGCCCACCCCCAGTGGGCAGCTTCCGGGCCTGCTGCGCAGCTCAGAGGAGAGGGGCTGCCACGAGTTCGTGGCTCGATGGTTTGGGACTGCCGTGCAAACCCTAGGGGGGTGTCCTGTGCGTTTACACAAAGCTGGGGCCTTGTTTCAACCACCCAAACATACTTAGGGTCAGAAAAGGTGTCGGCAGAGGAAAGGGAGATTTAGGGCCCAGGTATGCTCTCTGGGGGCATTTTTCTGGCCTGGGGCTCACGGGAAGTTGAGGGCACCTAGGCGTGGGTCCTTGCAGTGCTGGGGGCGGGGCTCTGTGCTCGGCCCGGCCAGCAGGTGGGGTGGTTGGTGTCACCCACTTGGTGCAGAGCCGGCTAAGGCTGAGGCCCAGGGACTCGCCTTCGACTGTGCACGATCGGAGGGGTCGCTCTGCAGTGGGCGCTGTGACGGGGGCGCAGTCACTGACGTCTCGTGGGGCAACACCTATAAATAAGGCCCAAATGCGGCCCGTCCTTCAAGCTGCGGACACCAGAGGGCGCAGCCCCAGGACCACGCCCCCACTCCCCTACCCCACCCGGAAAGGGGTCCACCCGAGCCGGCCCTGCGGTCACTAGTCGGGGGAGGGGAGGCCCTGGAGCTTCACGCGGGAGCTCCCGCTGCGGGAACCACAGCCACCGCTAAGCCTTTCTGGCCCGCCCGCCCCATCGCAGGGAGAGGACGGGGGAGGGGCAGGACGGGCGCCTGGACAGCTGGGTTCCTCCCGCAGGTGCTTCTGACTCCGGCATGGAGGAAGCGCCTGCATTCTCGGCCCAGGCCCGCAGCCAGGGCTGCTACGCCCGCTGCGCCCCAGGTAAGCCGGGCCAGCGTGGGGGAGAAGCGGGGCCTGGGCTGCGGATGGGGCTGCCCTGACCCGCGTCTCCCCCCAGGGCAAAAGCCCCGCAAGGCAGTGTGAGCTGGAGCCGCCAGCCTGAGGACCTCTTTTAAGATGACCCATACGGACGCTCCGGACCTGCTGGTGTCGACCGTGTACCAGGACATCAAGGTGGCGACCCCGGGACCCGCGTCCAAGCGCTCGCCATGTGAGCGATCCCTGGCTCGGCCTGCTGAGCCCGCGCCTTTCAACAAGCGCCACTGCGGCAGCTTCGACTTCCTGGAGGCGCTGGACCGGCCAACCATGGAGACCCTGCCGGAGCCACCGCCCCTGGAGCCCGCTGTGCCGCGCGCCCGGACCCGCGAGGCCGAGCCACACCGCCGCGCCCACTCCAAGAGCGCGCCCCGCGCGCCCCCGGGCCTGACGCCCGCGCCCGCCTTGCTGCAGGTGTTGCCCAGCCGAGGGCGGGAGGCCCAGCGTGCGGCGCGGGCCGAGGCATCGCCGCGCCCTTGCCAACTAGCTGCGTCCCATCAAGTTGCAGCCGCAGCTGGGCGGCCCCGGCCACATCGCGCCCCTGTGCGCCGCCGCGGGCCGCTGCGCACCTCCCGAGCCACCCGCGGGTCCCTACCCCTACGTGCGCTCCTTCCGGACATCAAGCCAGAGGACGCAGTGCTCCAGCACGCCGCCTGGGGCTTGCGGTCCTGCGGGCCCGCCCCGCCCCGCAGTTCCACGGCCTCACGGTGCCCGGGCCCCGCCATATGGCGCTGTCGCACACCCCGACGCCAAGCGACTCATACCGTGCGGATCCCCGGGCGTTCTACTGCGACGAGCCCCTGCCTGGGCCCCGTGACTACGCTGAGCGCCGCAGTCTGCCCTTCATCACCCCGCCGGGCCCCACCAGTTCTTCTATACAGAGGAGCCCCAAGGCTTCCGGGGCAGCTTTGCGGCCAGTCCCGGTCCAACCTTCGACGCCTACTGCCCCAGGCCCTATCCGTCGGAGGAGCTCCCAGGGCCCAGTCCAAGGTGCACGGGGGGCTACTACGCAGGAGAGGTGCGCACCTTCCCAATCCAGGAACCGTCCTCCCGCTCCTACTATGGGGAGGCTCCCTGAGCCTACGGCCTGCCCTACGGGCCCCGCTATGTCCCTGAGGAGCCCCGGGCCCACTGCACCGCCCGCCCTTTTTACACGGAGGACTTCGGAAAATACCGTGAGCGTGACGTCCTTGCTCGGACGTAGGCGCACCCGCTCAGCAGCCCAGCCTGGGCGGACTGGGGCCTGCGACCCTACCGCACCCTGCAAGTGGTGCAGTCCTCTAACCCCGACCGGTTGCTCGCCTCCTGGCATGGCGGCACCGGCACCAGTCCACCCCGGCTGGCCACCGACAGCCGCCACTACTCGTGCTCCTGGGACAACATTCTGGCCCCGGGCCGTGCCGAGACCAGTGGGGCCGTGCCGAGACCAGTGGGGCCGTGGCCGCAGCTATGAGAACCTGCTGGGGCGTGAGGTGCGGGAGCCGCGAGGCGTGTCCCCCGAAGGCTGGTGCCCACCTGTCGTCGTGAACCTGTCCACCTCGCCCAGACGCTATGCCCCACTGTCCCTGTCCGAGACGTCGCTGACGGAGAAGGGCCGCGCGGGTGAGGGCCCGGGCCGCAACTGGTACGTGATGCCCGAGATCACCATCACTGACAATGACCTGCACGCCACCGAGCGCGCACCAGGGCCTGGGAGTTGCCCGGGGGCTGCACGCGGCCACTTCCTCATGCGGCCCCCGACGGCCCCACCTCTGGCCGCCAGCGGATCCTAGAGCAGCTGGACGAGCTCATCACGGACCTGGTCATCGACTTGCGACCCCCCGCCGGCCAGGCCTCAGAGCCGGCAGCCCACTGCCTGGGCCCCCAACTGCGCCAACTGCTGGACTCGCGGCCCGCGGGCTCCGGGGCCCCCGCGCTGGTGCCGCCACACTCGCCCCCAGCCTCCACCGGCATCACCCAGGAGCCCGCGGCCCCGGGAGAGGCGGCTGACATGTCCCCGGAACCCAGCGCCGACGAAGACGACCTGATGACCTGCTCCAGTGCGCGCTGCTGGCACACAGAGACCATGTTCAACGCCTGCCTCTACGTCAAGTCCTGCCACAGCTGCTACACCTACTACTGCTCACGCCTGTGCCGCGGCGAGGACTGGGACGTCCACAAGGCGCGCTGCGTGTACGGCCGCGTGGGCAGCGTGTGCCGCCACATGCTGCAGTTTTGCTGTGACAGTGGCCCGGTGCACCTCGCTTTCTCGCCCATGGCTCGTGTGGGTTTCCTGTCGCGCAGGCGCAGCGTGCTCTTCCTGGGCTTCCCAAGTCCAGGCTCAGCTGAAAACTTCCTGTGCTTTGGCCTGGAGGGGCTGCTGCTATCCCCCTCCCAACTATCGCAGTGTGAGCTGGCCACACACGCGGCGCCCCTGGGCAGCTACATACGCGAGCTGGCAGCCGCTGGGCGCCTCTACGAGCCGGCAGAGCTTCCTGCTTAGCGTGGCCGTGGCCGTGGGACCCAGCACCGCGCCCCTGGGGACATCCGCCCTGCCCGTGCCCACGCCACCCAGCGATGGGCCAACAGTGTGCAAGTTAGCCAAGGTAGCGCTGGCAGCCGGCAGCCCCTCGTGGCCGCCCCTGGCGCGGAGTGGCAAGCCCGACATGGAGACGCTGATCCTGACACCACTGCCGGACACCCACATTTTCCAGTATCTTTATACAGTATCCTATGTGTGGTACCAATTTATTGTATTAGTTCATTTTCACACTGCTGTCAAGAAATGCCTGAGACTCGGTAATTTATAAAGAAGAGGGATTTAATTGACTGAGTTCGGCATGGCTGGGGACACCTCAGGAAACTTACAATCATGGCAGAAGGAGAAGCACGCACGTCTTACATGGCAGCAAGCGAGAGAGAGAGAGAGAGAGAGAGAGAGAGAGAGAGAGAGGGAGGGGGAGGGGGAGGGGGAGGGGGAGGGGGAGGGGGAGGGGGAGGGGGAGAGAGAGGGGAGAGAGAGAGAGAGAGAGAGAGAGAGAGAGAGAGAGAGAGAGAGAAGAGAGAGGAGCAAGCAAGGGAAATGCCAGATAGCTATAAAACTATGAGATCCCATGAGAACTCACTCAGTATGATGAAAACAGCATGGGGAAACTGCCCCCGTGATCCAATCACCTCCCACCAGGTCCTTTCCTCAACATATGGGGATTAAGAGGATTGCAATTCAGGATGAGATTTGGGTGGGGACACAGCCAAACCGTATCAGCATACCTAGGTTACTAGCTCATATCTGGAGCCAGCAATGGGGTTTGTCCCACCAGAATCACTCAAGCGTAGAGTGATATGGTTCCCCAAAGGAAAACTAAGGTGTTATTTCTAGACAAAAAGGATTCAATGCTGGGAAGGCAAAAGCAGTCTATCTATTCCACAGTAGGATGTGAGTCATCAGTACACAGGAGATAGTAAGAAGGCTAGGAGTAGTGGTTGACACCTGTAATCCCAGCATTTTGGGAGGCCAAGGCAGGTGGATTGCTTGAGTCCAGGAGTTCAAGGCCAGCCTGGGCAACATGGCAAGGCCTTGTCTCTACAAAAACAATACACAAATCAGCTGGGTATGGTGGCATACACCTGTAGTTCCAGCTACTCAGGAGGCTGAGGTGGGAGGATCTCTTGAGCCTTGGGAGGTCAAGTCTGCAGTGAGTTGTGATCACACCACTGCACTCTGGCCTGGGTGATAAAGTAAGGCCCTGTCTCAAAAAAACAAAAGAAAAGAAAAATGATAACAACAATAAAACCCAGAAAGAAGTAACAAAATCACCACTGTTTCATCTCTATATTTTTACTTTCTGGTAGTTGAAAGAGAAGAAATTATTGGCCAAAATAATGTATGTACATATATCCTTAGATCTACATCTATGTTTATCTATATCTATAGTCATATAGTCATTTGTATTGGAAGACACAGCTCCTGAACTTTATTGCTCTTTAGATACTGATCCATATGAGATTCAGAAGAGAACAGGTAATGCATTTCAGATTTATTTGTGATGAATATATAGCATCAAGCTTCAGGAACTGATTTGCTTCTCATGTGCATTGGTACTAGTTGGACTGTCATCACGCTGTGACATCGGTCCTCTCTGAAGGACCAAGAGCTCCCCTTCTCTCCTCATTGCTTTAGGCCTGACCTTTACTGAGATCCCCCTCCTAATAGTCTGTAGTCTATGACAGATTGGCAAAGTAAACTTTGTCCATTTCTATGTTAGTTTTTTTTCTGCAGTGGCAAGAAACAGTCACTGAACATTGATTTCTTGAGTATAATTTGTCTGTGTTTTAAAAGTTTAGAAATGTGTTCTTTGGACTACATACTTGGCCTAAAACACCCAGTGGACTACCACACTATACCCCCATCACTTGCACTACATCACCAATGGTAGGGTGGCCACATTCACTGTTTACACGGATCTATTCCTTAGGACTGAGTCATTAGCACAATCCTGTCTTCCTAGGCTTATTAGAGAAATCGAAGACAGGATATTTGAATTGAAAGGTACCTACAAATCCATCTTCTTTCCCATTGATTGATTGAATCCCTTTCATACTGTTTCTTGAGGATGGTCAATCAGTCTTGCTTAAGCACTTCCCCCGGGAGGAAAGTCACTATTTACAGATTCCCCAGCCTCTTGCATTGCTAACAGTTTGTATCATGAGAAAGATCTCTCCCATAGAGTTGCTCTCTCATTAATAGTCACCTCTTCTTAAAGCAACAAGGCCAGTTTTGAGGAATCTCTTTGTGCCCCTTTTCAGTAGTAGATCAGGGTTTGCACTTCAAAGGATATCGTGGGTGTCTTTTTATGAGTCAAAGGCTTATCATCTTTATTGCAGATCAGTAACAAGGCAGGTTTCTGGAATATGTATATGGTTTCCTTATAAACAGTCCCCAAACTCATGTATCAACCTGACAAAGTCTAGACTCAAGAGTTTGTTTCAAGAAGAAAAAAAAAGAGCCAGCCATGCTAGAAAGAATCGCAAGCCTATAAATTGTGCTGAAGTGTGTTTATATAACTAGATTAGAGTTTAAATAAAGCACTCCAACGGTAAACCGAACTACAAGTCCTAGTGGTAAAAGCAACCTCTGAAGAGTCAGTGGAATGGACAGGTTACACTTGTTTTCATTGTGCACACAAGCGAACACAGATTTCCAAATGGATGGCTAGCACCTCAGGACATTGCTTCCAGAGGGCAAATTTCATCATTGTCATTCTCATTTTGAGAAACTGAAGTTCAAAGAGATGGGTGACTGCCCTAAGACAGAGCCCTTATTTCAAGGTCCAGGGATACCTATGACCCCTCTGACCTAATCCAGGTGACAATTTATAGCTGATTCATATGACCCTGTTGACTCAAGCCAGTACCCCAAAGCTATTTCCCATTTAATGAGACAAAAATCTCACCTGAGAGTGCCATACTAGCTGTGAATTTTCATCAGATTCTTAGAGATGACTGCGACTTTCCGCCTTCTCCTCCCATCAATATTTAGAACTCTTGAATCATAGTTCAATTATCAATCAAGTTCTCTAGAGAAACAGGGATATAACTTGTTCAGTGATTTTGGCTTATGCTAAGGGCTAAGCCAGTCAGAAAAGAAAACAGAGGAACCAAAGTAATATATTCAAGCAATATACTCAAAACCAGTCGAAGAAGAAGCTGAAGGAGGAAGTCTGTGGGGTTTATTTTTATTTATTTATTTATTTATTTATTTATTTATTTGAGACAGAGTCTCACCCTTCACCCAGGCTGGAGTGCAGTGGCGCAATCTCAGCTGACTGTAAGCTCCGCCTCCCGGATTCACACCATTCTCCTGCCTCAGCCTCCTGAGTAGCTGGGACTACAGGCACCTGCCACCATGCCCGGCTAATTTTTTGTATTTTTAGTAGAGGCAGGGTTTCACCATGTTAGCCAGGATGGTCTCGATCTCCTGACCTTGTGATCTGCCCTTCTCGGCCTCCCAAAGTGCTGGGATTACAGGCATGAGCCACCGCGCCTGGACGTTTGTGGGGTTTATAAACAAAATCAATGCTTTATAAAATTGTATAGCCATGTGTTAAGTAAGTGTAATTTTAAGGCAAACTGCTTTATACTGTATGTGTACGATTACAGATACAAAACTATACAGTCATATATCACTTAATGACAGGGATATGTTCGGAGAAATGCATGGCTAGGCATTTCTGTGCAAACACCATAGAATGTACTTACACAATCCCAGACAGTATAGCCTACTATACACCTAGGCTATACAAGTATAGTCTATTGCTCCTAGGCTACACACCTACACAGCGTGTGACTGAACTGAATACTGTAGGCAATCGGAACATAATGGTAAGTACTTGTGTATCTAAACATGGAAAAGGCACAGTAAAAATATAATATAAAAGGTAAAATAAGGCCAGCCATGGTGGCTCACACCAGTAATCCCAGCATTTCGGGAGGCTGAGGCGGGCAGATCACCTGAGGTCAGGAGTTCAAGACCAGCCTGGCTAACATGGCGAAACCCCATCTGTACTAAAAATACAAAAATTAGCTGGGAGTGGTGGTGCACCCCTGTAATCCCAGCTGCTTGGGAGGCTGAGGCAGGAGAATCACTTGAACTCAGGAGGTAGAGGTTGCAGTGAGCCGGGATTGCACTCCAGCCTGGGCATCTCAAAAAAAAAAAAAAAAAAAAAGTAAAATATGGTCCACTTGTATATGGCACTCACAATGAATGGAGCTTGCAGGACTGGAAGTTGCCTGGGTGAGTCAGTGATGAGTGGGGAGTGAATATGAGGGCCTAGGACATGACCTACCCTACCGGAGACTTTATAAACACTGTACACTTAGGCTGCAATAAGTTTATTAAAAATATTTTCTTTCTTTTGCAATAAATTAACCTTACCTTACTGTACCTTTTTAACTCTATAAACCTTTTTTTTTTTTTCTGGTACCAGACCATTCCAGGCAGGGAGAGCCACTGAGCTCACTCCATGGGCTGCCCACATGGGGTCTGGACCCACCTGCCCTCTTTTGCCTGGCAGGCAGCCTCTGGGCCATCACAGGACACATTGTGTGGTGATCAGTGGCCCACCGCCTGCCCTTGTGGTGGGTGCAGTTCACAGGTTCTGCCCCAGGCCTGGCACCGTGGCCTTCCCAGCCTGGCCCAGGATAGGGGACATGAATGATCCTTGCCTGTGCTTCTTTGGACCATGTGAGTTTGGACACTCACTGCAGAAGTCCCTCCAGGTCCCTTTTCAACTGAGTTGTGGGGGACTTGCTTAGTCCTCATGCCCAGGGTCAGGGGAGGGGTGCAGAGTCTGCACCCCAAATCCCCTAGGGCCTGAGGGAGGTATCCCAGGTGACCTCTGTCCTCTCCAGTGACATGAGTCCTCCCAGATGGCCTCAGCCCTCTCAAGTGACATGCTTCCATGGTGACTCTGGCTCTTGCAGGAGGTGGGCTACTACAGGGACATGAGCTGCCTAACTGCCATCCTCCTCCTGTATCTGCCAGAGGAAGACACCTTCTGGGCACTGGATCAGCTGATGGCTGAGGAGAGGCACTCCCTGCAGGGTAGGCGGACAGCTACCCCCAGGGCCTCACACAGCCAGGCCATGGGACGGCCACCCTGCCTGGGCGATCCTGACTTCCCGGCAAGGCACCTTCCTTGCTTTCCAGCTTGTTAGGAGCCTTCAGGACATCCCTGCTGAGGGTCCCACAGGAGCCTAGAGCTGAACAGGGACCCTTTCACTTCAAGGCAGACACCTTTCATCCCCAACAGCAGAGGGCGCTGCAGCCTCCCCCTGGCCACCCTGTGTGTCCCAGAGCCACAGCCCTCTAGCTCTGAGTTCATGCAGGTGACCGTCACTTCCTCAAGAGTCCTGCTACCTCCCAGCTGGCCACACTCCCAGCTGCCCTCCCAGCCCACAGATGGGCCAATGAAGTCGAGATGGCAGTGTCTGCCCATCCCATGTCCCCCAGCCTGACCCCATGTCCAGGAGAGGCCATGTAGCCCCTTGGCACCCACCCTGTTCCCTCCACTGGCCACTGCCTGCCGCAGCCCTGCCTCACAGCCTCAAAGGCAGGCCTGCCCTCCGGGCACCTCTACCCAGGATGCTGCTGTGCAGTTCCTCTGGCTAGGGCCCACCTCCCTAGAGCTGAGGCCACATGGTAGGGTCACCTAATGGAAGGGAGGAAGGCCTCAGGGTCCGGGGTCCCCTGCCACTGCCCAGCTCTTCCAGCTGACAGCTCCACATCTTGGGAGTGGGCTCTGATGCATGATGGGTCAGGGGCTTCTCAGTTTTCTACAGCCCAAATACTGCCCAGCTCCGGAGGCTCCTATCCCACCAGGAGCAGGTATAACACAAATTTTTCCCAAAGATCATGTGGTACCTGCTGAGTGGACGACACCCTCAACTCTTTCCCAGAGGCCCAGGGTCCCATGGGGCAGGGAAACAGGGAAAGATGGAGCTCCTCGAGGGGCTGACAAGAGGCTGAGTCCCAGCCAGGGCCTCGCCCAAGATGGGGATTCTCCATGGGTTTGGAGTTGGGTTTTCTTATCCTGCCCTGGAGGAAGAGGCAGAGGTACTAGGATGGGGGCTGAGCTCCAGCTGAGCAGGGTTAAGGGAAGTGTGTCCACCAGGCATCTGTGCATGGGGGAGTTGTTGGGGAAGCACTGGCCACTGCCCAGTGTTCTGCCCCAGGGCAGCTCACGGGGCCCTGAGCACCTATGGTCCAGGATTGAGGTTTGTTGAGTTGGCTCCTCTGGTGTTTCGTTGATGGGGTAAGGAGGCAAATGGAGATTCCAGGCCAGGGACCTTCATGTCCCACAGTGCCCAGCTCCCCCAGGAGGACCTGGATCACCCCAAGCCCACATGAAGCACAGGGAAGTTTCTGCATGGCACAGAAGCCAGGCCCTCCCCAAAAGGGGGCATCACATGGCAGGGGCCAGGACTCAGGCCCACTGCTATTTTCACATTATTAATTTTATAATGTGATATGGTTTGGCTGTGTTGCCACCCAAATCTCATCTTGAACTGTAATTTCCATAATCCTCATGTGTCCTGGGAGGGACCCAGTGAGAGGTAACTGAATCATGGCAGCAGTTTCCCCCATGCTGTTCTCATGATAGTGAGTTCTCATGTGATTTGATGGTTTCATAAGCATCTAGCATTTCCCTTGCTTGAGGTGATGAATGCCTCATTTACCCTGATGTGATTATCACACATTGCATGCCTGTGTCAAACTATCTCATGTACCCCATAAATATATACAGCTACTATGTACTCATAGAAATTAAAAATAAAAATAAATTTAAAATAAAAAGTGTGAGTTTTTAAAGGTGAGGTTTGCCCTCCAGCACTGGTCCCTGCCAGGTGTGACCTTCACATCATCTTTCCACATGGTCCAGGCCCCCATTTGCAGAGGCCAACAGTTTCTGAGGAGTGACCTTCCTCAGAAAACAGGGTCTTGGAGGAGACAGTCAGAGGAAGGGGCCTTGTCCTCCCCACTGCACAGCCCCTCGTGGGGATTGGAAAGTGAGGGTCTCTGCCCACAAGTTGGCAGTCACCTTAAGCTTTTTTGTGGGAGGAAGCATAGGGAATATAGGTCAGTGCTGGGACAGCATTTCCTGATCCTGACTTGGAGAAGGTGTTAAAATCTTGACATTTCCGACTCCTCCTTTGTGAGAGCCCCTGCCCTGCAGGTCTCACAGGGTTGTTGTGAGGGTCACCTGTGGTGATGGGTTTGGAAGTGCTTTGTGAATGACACGGTGGGCCTTCCTATTCCTGTCATTGGCCTTTCGACCTTCAATACTAATTGCCTGGGGATCTCCAGGCCTCAAGGTCTAATCCTGGAAGGGTATGAGGTGTCCCTAGTGGAATATTCTACACCTCATGGGAGGTCCCTCACTTCCACCTTCACCTGACATAACCCCTGCTCCTGTTTCCTCAGCCTGGAGAGCTTGCCCAGGAGCACAGGGTAGTACTGGACTGACCTCTTTGGAAAGGGTGATTACATCCTCATTTCAGCTCTCCCTCTTCCTAGCTTTCCACATAGAATTCCAGGGCTCCATGCAGCATTTGCTGGACATGAGAGGGAAAACTTTTAGGGCAGGGATCTGCCCTGGGTGGGGACAGAGGAGTATCCTGGAGTCTGGGTGTCAGGAGTGTGAGCCCTGCCCAGCTGGCCAGCCCCTGTCCCCATGCTGCTCGATGCATGATGTTTCCTGCACAAGCTTCCTTTAAAGGGAAGCTTCCAAAGTGACTGCAGTGAGGTCCATGCTGTTGGGCATGACAGAGCAGCCCTGGAGGTGGCCAAAGAGAAGCAGGCAGAGGAAGCTTCTCCAAGCAGGCTTGGAAAGATATTTCCGCATATCACTCACGTCACTCTTGCCACTAGAAGGAAAATTTCTACAGTGGAGTGGAAGAAAATGACTATGCTGTGGGAGAGAATGGATGCATCCAGAAGAGCAAGGCAGGAGGAGAAATGAGCCCATTGCCAGAATTTTGTGTCTTTTGAAGACATTTGCCAGAATTCTACTTTTGAAGGCTGCCCCTTTTGACAGTCAGTTACTGAGGAAGCTGTGGGACATTTTCAAAGCCTTTTATATAAAAAAACACACAACATACTGCTGTGGGTCTGTGTGCAGGGACCACGAAGAGCACAGCTGCCGCTGTTCTGTGTCGCAGATGCTATGGGAAGTGCCTTAACACACACAGATGTGCTTCATGCAACCAGGTGAGGAACATCTCTAAAACAGTTTACACTCAAGAGAATTCAATGTTGAGGAGGTTGAATGCGTTATCCAAGATCACACATATGTCCTGACAGATTCAGGGTTCAGCAAAGAATTATGTATCATGAATTATAGAGTTGTATTTTAATTTTTCATTTTAAATTTCTGCAGTTTTCTTCCATCACTTTTCACCATGCTTTCTATACTTGGAATTATTTTTTTTTTTGGCTTCTTGATCTTCTTTACTTGTATGTTATTGATTTTCTACAAGTTTTATCATATATGATTAAAGAGTATTTCTTAATGTTTTAATAATTACCCTAGAAGGGATCACAGCCAAGATGGCCAAATAGGAACAGCTCTGGTCTACAGCTCCCAGCGTGAGCGACGCAGAAGACAGGTGATTTCTGCATTTCCATCTGAGGTACCAAGTTCATCTCACTAGGGAGTGCCAGACAGTGGGTGCAGGACAGTGGGTGCAGCGCACTGTGTGCGAGCCGAAGCAAGGCGAGGCATTGCCTCACTTGGGAAGCACAAGGGGTCAGGGAGTTCCCTTTCCTAGTCAAAGAAAGGGGTGACAGATGGCACCTGGAAAATCAGGTCACTCCCACCTGAATACTGTGCTTTTCTGAGGGGCTTAAAAAATGGCGCACCAGGAGATTATATCCTGCACCTGGCTCAGAGGGTCCTACACCCACGGAGTCTTGCTGATTGCTAGCACAGCAGTCTGAGATCAAACTGCAAGGAGGCAGCGAGGCTGGGGGAGGGGTGCCCACTATTGCCCAGGCTTGCTTAGGTAAACAAAGCAGCCGGGAAGCTCCAACTGGGTGGACCCCACCACAGCTTAGGACTCTCTCCAACAGGCCCTATGATACAGCCATGCAGCCAGCTCACCCCACCCACATTCCACAGACTGCCCTAGGCTTTAGGACAGTGGCAAACATGGCCTCTGCCCATCCCCATCTGTGAGCACTCCTTCTTACCCCAAGGTCAGTTGCTAACCAATGAGCTGCTGGGGGCCTCCTTCTCCCACTCCCACTGCACTGTGTCCAGAGTGGCCAGCACCAGCCCCAGGTGTCAGGGGTCAGTGCATTTGCCTCGGGGGGACTGGCAGAGTGGGTGCTTCCTGAAAGGCTGTGCTGGACTCAGCCCATAGACTTCGTGTGTCCCATGGGCTAGGGCCAAAGGAAGCAGTCAGCAAGCGCCATCCACCCCAGCTTTTCTCTCCCTGGGGACTGCTGGACTGAGGGTACAGGTGGCCCAGCTCCGAAGGCTGTTGCTGGCCAGGCCTGCCCACCTCCCCTCTGCCCTGCAGGCACTTGCCTTTTCAGAGTCACATTTGAATCCTACTCCTTACATCAAGGTTCAGGCAGCTGTCCAAACACCTTATCTCTTCATCTCTGGCCATTTCTTCAGAGTCGACTATGAGCAGAAATCACCCAGACACCCCACAGGTAAGTCCACTTGCCTCACATGGCTCTTCCTCTTCTCAAGAACCTACAAGGGCTCCCAGTGCCTGAGGAATAAGGTCCATTGGAGACCCTGCCTTTCTTGCTGCCCCTCTCACCCTCTTCTCCAGGCAGCCAGGCAATCCTCAACACTTCTCCCCTCAAGGAAAGCACAGTGCACCCCAGGATTCGACAGGGGTGCTGCTGTAGGGAGCAAACCACACACCACTGAGGCCCGCTTTCCCTGCTGAGACGGGGGGCATCCCAGGGCCCCACACAGGTCCAGGGTCCTGGCACTTTGCTACTGGGCTCCTGTGGGGAACAGTAATGGTCTCTTCCCACTAGCCTGTGAGCAGCAAAGAGGCAGGACTGGGGCTCAAACCCCAGTCTCCCACCTTGCTGTGTGACCCTTTGTGAGCTTAATCTCAAAGAACTCAAAGCACAGGCTTTGATTTCTGAACTAACACCGGGGTTCAGCACCAGGCTGCAGGGCTCTGAGCCCCCTCACCTCAGTCACCACAAGGGAATCTTTTCTCTCCCAATCACCTAGAGGGAGGCTGGGCCTCCTGGAGCAGAGCAGCATGGGGGGAAGCAGCCCTGGGTCCCCTGAAGTCCTAGGTGGGCAAACACAGACTACAGAGGGAGCTCCCCTTTCAGATTAGTGGTGAAATGGTTTCACATCACTGGGAGGGTGTAGAAATCTGTAGTTAAGCCCTGTAAAATATAGATTTTGGCACATGGGGACCTAAGAGAATCCTGCCTGGAACAGGGCCTGGCATCCCATCAGTGCTCAATAAACAGCTGCCAGTGACATGCACGAATTAAGGGAGGCCAAGTGTATAAGTTCTTTTATGAAACCAGAATCACTCCTTTGTTCCTCCTCTATGCAAGCAAAGAGCCACATGGGTACAGCAGAGGGGAGCCTTTTACACACCAGGCCTCATGCAGGAAACCGGGTCATAGGTCAGGGAGTTTGGAGTGGAAGGGACCTGAGAAGCTGTCCTGGTCTAAGTATCTTTCTCCCATTTTAAGTAAAGGAATACACAGGGTCAGAAGGAGGAGGACCTGTGTCCAGCCCCTGTGTTCCCCACTCCTGGGCAGACACGTACCCAGTGCAGCGAGAATGTCTGCGAGGGGGATTTGTCAGCTCCACTGCTCAGCACTGATTTTGATCAGCATTTCCCCAGGGACAAGAAGGCACTTAGTGACCTTGTCCAAATCTCATGTTGAAATATAATCCTCAGTGTTGGAGGTGGGGTCTGGTGGGAGGTGCTTTGGTCATGGGGGCAGATCTCTCATGAATCGGTCCTGTCCTTTCAATAGTGAGTGAGTACTTGTGAGATCTGGTTGTTTTAGGGTATGGCACCTCCCTCCCACCACATTTGTGGCACCAGCACCACATTTGTACAGCCTGTAGAATTGTGAACCAATTAAACATTTTTTTCTTTATAAATTACCCAGCCTCAGGTATTTCTTTACAGCAATAAAAGAATGGCCTAACACAGAAAATTGGTACTGAAGAGTGGTGTTTTGCTATAAAGATACATGAAAATGTGGAAGTGACTTTGGAAGTGAGTAACAGGCAGAGGTTGGAAGAGTTTGGAGGGCTCAGAAGACAAAGATGAGGAAAAGTTTGAAATTTCTTAGAGACTGGTTAAATGGCTGCATTCTGTTCATGCCCTAGGAATTTGTGGGAGTTCAATCTTAAGAATGATGATTTAGGGTGTCTGATGGAAGAAATTTTTAAGCAGGAAAGCATTCAAGGTGTGGCCTTGTTGCTTCTATACTCAGATCCAGGAGCAAAGAAATGACTTAAAGTTGGAATTTATGTTTAAACAGGAAGCAGACCAGAAAAATTTGGAAAATTTGCAGACTGGCCATGTGACAAAGAAAGAAAAAGCTTTTTCCAGGAGAAAAATTTGAGCAGGCTGTGGAGAAAACACTTGCTAGAGAGAGTTGCATAATTAAAACAAAACCCAGATGCTGATAGCCAAGACAATGGGGAAAAGGCCTTGCACGCATTCCAGAGATCTCCATGGCAGTCCATCACATCACAGACCTTGAGGCCTAAGAGGAAAGAATGCTTTTGAGGGCCAGGACTTTACTGCTCTGCACAGCCTCAGGACACTGCTCCCCACATCCTGGCCACTTCAGCTGCAGTCTCAACTCAGAAGACCCCCGATACAGCTCAGGCTACTGCTTCAGAGGGTGCAAGCTATAAGCCTCAGCAACTTCCATGTGGTATTAAGCCTATGGGCATGCAGAGTGCAAGAATGACGGCTGGGCATTCTCTGCGCCAGCGCCGGTGCGCTGCGTACTCCTCAGCACAGACCCGGAGAGCATCGCCAGGGCGGAGCTGAGTTCTCCTCTGCACAGACCTGGGGAGGCCGGGGGCACCGCGAGGGTGAAGCTGCGTTCTGCTCAGCACAGCCCCAGGGGACTCTGTGAAGGCAGAGCCACGTTCTCCTCAGCACAGACCTTGGGGACACTGCCTCGCTTTGGGACAACTCGGGGCCACATCGACGATGAATAAAATCCTTCCTGTTTGCAGCCCTGAATAATCAGGGTCAGAGACCAGTTAGAAGGGTTCACTGTGGAAAAACGGGAAACCAAAAGCCCCTCTAAATCCTTCCTAACGAGGTTCTCCCCAGCCAAGGCGAGGCGGCCGCAGTGCGAGATCCACACCACAGCCTCAGAAGACAAATGCAGCATTCCTAATGCAGACATGACACCCGAAATATGACACCCCCATTGCTCATGTAACAAGCACCTGTAATGCTAATGCATTGCCTCAATACAAAAATATTAATATAAGATCCGCAATCCCCTCGCTGCCGTGCAGTCCTAAGACAGCGATCATAACAATCAACATTGACATAGTCAATACAAACGTAGTAACGAACCTAGGGTTAAGGTTGGTGTTAGGGTTAGGGGTTAGGGGTTAAGTTTAGGGTCAGGGGTTGGAGACAGGGGTTGGGGTCAGAGTTAGGGGTTAGGAGTCAACGTTTAAGTTAGGGGTTGAGAGGTTAGGGGTTAGGGATTAGGGGTTAGGATTGGGTTAGGGTGAGGGTGAGGGTTGAGGTTAGGGTTAGGGGTTAGGGTTAAGGGTTAAGGGTTAGGGGTTAGGGTCAGGGGTTAGGGTTCAGTGTCAGGGGTTAGGGGTTATGGGTAAAGGTCAGGGTCACGGGTCAGGGTCAGGGGTCCCACTTTGTGGGTTGTCTATTTCCTCTGCTGACTGTTCCCTTTGTCATGCAAAAGCTCTTTAGTTTAATTAAGTCCCAGCTATTTATCTTTGTTTTTATTGCATTTGCATTTGGGTTCTTGGTCATGAAATCCTTGCCTATACCAATGTCTAGAAGGGTTTATCCAGTGTTATCTTGTAGAATTTTTATAGTTCAGGAATTAGGTTTAAGTTCTTAATCCATCTTGAGTAGATTTTTGTATAAGGTGAGAGATGAGAATCCAGTTTTATTCCCCTACATGTGGCTCGACAAATATCCCAACATCATGTGTTGAAAAGGGTGTCCTTTCCCCACTTTACGTTTTTGTTTACTTTGTCGAAGATCAGTTGGCTGTAAGTATTTGGGTTAATTTCTGGGTTCTCTCTTCTGTTCCATTGGTCTATGTGCCTATTTTTAAACCAGTACCATGCTGTTTTGCTAACTATGGCCTTATTGTACAGTTTGAAATCAAGTAGTGTGATGCCTCCAGGTTTGTTCTTTTTGCTTAGCCTTGGTTTGGCTACATGGCACTCTTTTGGTTCCATATTAATTTTAGAATTGTTTTTGTAATTCTGTGAAGAATGACGGTGGTATTCAGATGGGGATTGCATTGAATTTGTAGATTGCCTTTAACAGAATGGTAATTTTCACAATTTTGGTTCTAGTTCTACCCATCCATGAGCATGGGGTTGTGTTTCCATTTGTTTGTGTCATCTATGATTTCTTTTCTTTCTTGTTTTTTTTTTTTTTTTTTTTTTTTTTTTTTTCAGAGAGAGTTTTGCTCTTGTCGCTGAGGTGGGAGTGCAATGGTGTGATCTCGGCTCACTACAACTTCTGCCTCCCGGGTTCAAGTGATTCTCCTGCCTCAGCTTCCCGAGTAGCTGGGATTATAGGCATGCGCCAACGTGCTTGGCTCCATCTATGATTTCTTTCAGCAGTGTTTTGTAATTTTCATTGTAGAGGTCTTTTGATTCCTTTGCTAGGTATATTGCTAAGTTTTGTTTTGTTTTGTTTTGTTTTGTTTTGTTTTGTTTTGTTTATGGCAGCTATTGTAAAAGGGATTGAGTTCTTGATGTGATTCTCTGCTTGGTAGCTGTTGATATATAGAAGAGCTACTGATTTGTGTCCATTAATCTTGTATCTGGAAACTTTGCTGAATTCTTTCATCAGTTCTAGGAGCTTTCTAGAGGAGTCCGTAGGGTTCTCAAGGAGAAAGGTCATATCGTCAGCAACCAGTGACAGTTTGACTTCCTCTTTACCGATTTGGATTTCCTCTATTTCCTTCTTTTGTCTGATTGCTCTGGCTAGGACTTCCAGTACTATGTTGAAGAGGAGTGGTGAGAGTAGGCTCCTCGTCTTGCTCCAGTTCTCAGAGGGAATGCTTTCACCTTTTCCGCATTCAGTATTATGTTGGCTGTGGGTTTGTCCTAGATGGCTTTTATTACATTAAGGTATGTCCCTTGTATGCCTATTTTGCTGAGAGCTTTAATCATAAAGCAATGCTAGATTTTGTCGAATGCTTTTTCTGCATCTGTTGATATGATCATGTGAGTTTTTTTTTTAATTCTGTTTATTTGGTGTATCACATTTATTGTTTTGCATATGTTAAACCATTCCTGTATCACTGGTATGAAACACACTTGATCATGGTGGATTATCTTTTTGATATATTGTTGGATTCAGTTAGATAGTATTTTGTTAAGGATTTTGGCATCTGCATTCACCAAAGATATTGGTCTGTAGTTTTCTTTTTTGGTTATGTCCTTTCATGGTTTTGGTATTAGGGTGATGCTGCTTTCATAGAATGAATCAGGGAGGGTTTCTTCTTTCTCTGTCTTGTGGAATAGTGTGAAAGGATTGGTATCATTTCTTCTTTGAATGAGAGAAGACATTCTTTGAATGTCTGCTAGAATTCTGCTGTGAATCTGTCTGGTCCTCGGCTTTTTTTGTTGGTAATTTTAAAATTACCGTTTCAATATTGCTGCTTGCTTTATTGGTCTGCTTGGGGTATCTAATTCTTCCTGATTTAAGCTAGGAGGGTTGTATTTTTCCAGGAATTTATCCAACTCTTCTAGGTTTTCTAGTTTATATGCCAATAGGTGTTCATAGTACCCTTGAATAATCTTTAATATTTCAGTGGTATCAGTTGTAATATCCCCTGTTTCATTTCTTAGTGAGGTTATTTGGATTTTCTCTCTTCTTTTCTTGGTTAATCTTGCTAATGGTCTATCGATTTTATTTATCTTTTCAAATAGCCAATTTTTGTTTTATTTATGTTTTGTGTTTTTTGTTGTTGTTGTTCTTGTGTCAATTTCATTTAGTTCTGCTCTGATCTTGGTTATTTCCTTTGTTTGCTGGGATTGGGTTTGGCTTGTTCCTGCTTCTCTAGTTCCCTGAGATGTGAACTTAGATTCGGTCTGTGCTCTTTCAGACTTTTTGACGTAGGTGTTTAGGGCTACAGACTTTCCTCTTAGCACTGCCTTTGCTGTATCCCAGAGGTCTTGATAGGTTGTGTCATCCAGTTCGAAGAAATTTTTTACATTTCCATCGTGATTTCATTTTTCACCCAATGCTCATTCAGGAGCAGGTTATTTAATTTCCATGTATTTGCATGGTTTTGAATATTCCTTTTGGAGTTGATTTTCAGTTTTATTCCACTGTGATCTGAGAGAGTGCGTGATACAATATCAATTTTCTTAAATTTATTGAGACTCGTTTTATGGCCCATCATATTGTCTATCTTGGAGAAAATTCCATGTGCTGTTGAATAGAATGTGTATTCTGTGGTTGTTGGATGAAATGTTCTGTATATATCTGTTAAGTCCATTTGTTCCAAAGTATAGTTTAAATCCAGTGTTTCTATGTTGACTTTCTGTCTTGATGACCTGTCTAGTGCTGTCAGTGGAGTATTGAAGTCCCCCACTATCATTGTGTTGCTGTCTATCTCATTTCTTACATCTACTAGTAATTGTTTTATAAATTTGGGAGCTCCAGTGTTAGGTTCATGTATGCTTAGGATTGTCATATTTTTCTGTTGGATGAGACCTTTACCATTATATACTTCCTGTCTTTGTCTCTTTTAGCTACTGTTGCCTTTTTCTACCACTTTCCTTAAGTTTATGTAAGTCGTTATGTGTTAGGTGAGTCTCCTGAAGGCAGATAGTTAGTTGGTGAGTTCTTATCCATTCTGTGATTCTGTATCTTGTAAGTGGAGACAGAGAGAAGGGCAGGGTGGGAGGATGTCCTGCAGGTGTGTCTTGCATGGAATGGAGGTGGGGAGGAGCAGGCCTTCACCCAGAAAATTCTTCTTTGCTATTTATTTTCTGTGCTAACCTATTGTCTTAATCAGTTTTGTGTTGCTATAACAGCGTTCTTGAGGCTTTGTCATTTATAAAAAGAAGAGGCTTGTTTGGCTCACAATTCTGGTGGCTGGAAGGTTCAAGATTTGTCAGCTCCATCTGGTGAGGACCTCATATGGCTTCAACTTCTAGTGGAATGCAAAAGGCGAGTAAGTGTGCAAAGAGACCACAAGACAAGAGAAGAAACAGGAGAAACCAAGGGAGGCAGGCTCTTAACAACCCACTCCAGTG
This sequence comes from Homo sapiens, assembly GCF_000001405.40. Classification (NCBI taxonomy): domain Eukaryota; kingdom Metazoa; phylum Chordata; class Mammalia; order Primates; family Hominidae; genus Homo; species Homo sapiens. The sequence goes on along the minus strand of NC_000018.10, from coordinate 14,981,031 downwards.
AAAATCAATCTATTCCTGAGAAAGCAAGAGTGCGAGCTCACCCCCACAAAAGGACATTTACCTATTCAGGAGGGATCTACCCTTATGACCCAAACACCTCCCACTAGACCCCACCTCCCAATGCTGCCACACTGGGGATCAAATTTCAACATGAGTTTTGGCAGGACCAAACCACATCCAAACCACAGCATGTACCCTAATATCCCCACTGTAGGCAACTACAGGAACTCACTGTGGCCCAAATGTCAGTGTCATACCACCTCCCCAGATCCTGGGGATCCTTAGGATGGGGGCAGAATCACCCTCTGCATTTACCCCTCTCCTTCCAGGATCTGGAGCAAGGGGATGAGGATGGGTCAGAAGGCTCTGGGAGATGGAGGTGTTCCACAGTGAGGGCCTCGTCAAGGGCAGAACTCCTCAACTATCAGATCCTTCACAATAATAGTGACAGTGACTGTTTTTGAAGCCTCAGTCTGTGCAAGAGCTCACATGGGTGTCTAAGGGACAAAATACAGTCTTGGGTTCTTCATTCCTGTTTCTGGTTGGGCCGGTAAAACCGCTTCCTCATCCCTCTTTTCCACTTATCACTAGAGACCAAAACTAAAAACTGTGGCTTTGGGCTGCTAAAAGCCTAAAACAAAACAACCACCACAAAATAAGGCAGGTTGGACAAGCTTGGATTACTTTAAATGATATTTTCTAGTCTTTGATTTTGCAAAATGTCTGAACATAATTAAAAGTTGAGAATACAGTATGACCCAGGGACTTTCTTCTGAGCATCTCACGGTCAACAGCCCCACACACCTGTCTTCTTTACACACATGCACATATACACACACAGAAATGCAGAGAAAGGGAAGATGAAGCACTTAGTGCAGAGACAACGCTGCTTCTGGCACAGTCCTGTAGTGAGCCTGCTGTAGTCAGCCACTCTGTGTGTGGAGTGGGAGGAGCAGAGTGGCCCTTCCTGTTTTTTCTTTTCTTCCTTCGCAGTTGCAAGCCCTCCATGACCTGGCACTGGGCCTTTCCCATTTGCCCAGGACTGCATGCTTCAGAAGGTGATAATGATATGAATAATAACAGCAACACAACCACCAAATCAAAACAACAATCATAATTGAGGCCACCAACTTTAGGTTTGTCAGGAGGAAGATGAGCCGCTGTATATTAATATACATTAAATATATATGTATCTTTTAGTGGTGATCAACAAAATTTAATAAATTCTATAAAATTTAACAAATATTTAATAAATACAATGTGATTATTATTTTTAATAACATTTAACAAAAATTAGCCACAATAAAATTAGTTTTAATGTGGATTATCCAAGTTTTGGATATTGGAGAGACACCTTCTGCCAAAACAGATGGTCAAAGGTAAATTTCAATGTATCACCCATAAATATCCTCTAAGTAGCAAACTCACTGATGTCATAATCAAACATACTGCACTTATCATGTAGCATTCAGTAGGAAACTGACCATTATTTTGACGAGAAATGTTTAGTTTGCCCCAGCACATCATGGGATCACTCTGATTACTTTATCCTGGTAGTTTCACGGCTGCAGAAAAGAGCAAATTGCAATGATTGCTGCTCAGAACCAATGTCCAGGATGTCTTGGAGTTAGGAACCACCACTGGTTAGAGGAAGTAGCTCTGTCTCCTGCTGCTTCTCCCTGGCTGGGGGCTGCAGGGTACACCGAGGGGCTCCTTCTGTCCTGCTTCCTGCTCTTTGAGGCTGCGGACCAGCTGTGATCTTCCTTCCCACACAAGCCTTTGCTTCCTCAGCAAAGCAGGCAGTTCCCACTGACACCCTCAGACCTTTCCCAACAGGCCGCTCTGCCTCTAGAAGGCTCAGGGAGCGCCCCCTTGTGGGCTGCTTGCCTGAGCTGGGAGAGACACGAAAGGGAAGCTGGTTCCTTTTCAGCAAATTTTTCTTCGGTCTGAACGTTTTTCACAGTAATTTGGTATTCATTAATTCATTCATTTTACTATGTATTTGTTCAAAGATCTGTTCTACAAATATGTATTGTGTGACTACTATTTGCCAAGCACCATTCTAGGTGTTCAAATAATGACTTGGGGAATAATAAAAGTAGAAATAATAAAATTAACAAACTCCATTTGTTTAAAAGTAATGGCACTTAAGATATTTGCATACGTAATCTTGTTTCTTGTTCAAAAGAGCACTGTGCAGGTGAACGTTATTATCCCTTCCGTTGAAAAGATGAGAAGCCTGGAGCCTAAATTCAGACAGGCAGCACCTGTGAGCGGAGGTGGTATTTGAACACATGTTCGCCTGCAGCAAAGTCCAGTGATGCTGCTGTGCTGTCGGTGGCAAAAAAGCCCCTGGGACCCTCGTGCTCTTGCTGGGACTATTTCCAGCTAGCTGAATGGCGGGATTTATGTTTACATTCAGTCATTTACCAAGGAATTTTTAAAAACTTACTCTCAAACTCTTTGCCTGTCTTTCTCTTATTTATTCCATATTAGAAACCCACCTCCATTCTGCCTTCTCCAATAACATAAAAGTGAAGGTGGCTTGCGCTCTTCACCCAGGGCAGGAGGCTGCAGAGCCCTGCACAGTGCAGTGGGGAAGCCCCGCTGGTCCCTCCTCTCAGCGGTCCCTCTCCTTCTGGAGCTCTGTGTCAAGGCCTGCCTGACACCTTCATGGCCCCCAGCAGGGAGGCCCCTTTGACAGGGATGCAAGAGACACAAATGCAGGGAAAGAGGCCTCCCTGTGGGAGGGGGGACCAGGGATGCAGCTGACCACATGCAGTGGCCAAACACCCTGGAACTTTATTTCAGCAGGGGATTTGGTGGCATAGGTGAGGTGAAGGGGAGTCCTAGACTTCTGAGCAATCCTTCAACTGAGAAAATAGTGTTACTTCCTGAGGTATTCAAATACAGAAAAGTGTTAAAGGGAAAATACGCAGTCTCATATCCCTTACCCCGATGTCCCAGCACTTACGGGAGGAGAATGTGTAGGGCCCCTCTCTGCTGCTGTCCTGGAGGGTGGGGCCACAGATACAGAGATGATGCCAGGCATTTGGTAAGGGGAAAGCTGCTCTGTTCTGATTGCAACCCTAAAAATGGCCCTTCACTGCGCTCTGCAGCTGTCTCTACTCCGATGACCAACGTCTGCTTATTTCCTGGATAGTGGAGCATTTCAGCAAGCACTGTATAACCCTGCTGATTCGTTTTGTTTCTGCTCTGGCCACGTTCACCTCTCCTGGGCCAAACACACCCAATGCTAAGTACAAAGAAAAACACCACTCTGCCTGAGCTCCTCCTCACCTCCATCCTGGTCCTCCTATCCCAAACCTGCACAGGTCAGATAAAGGGCCTGGGCAATGATGCCACTGCCCACACCCTGCACATCATTTGAGAGAAGACCCCTATGTAATGATCAGGTGGGGGCTGGAAGTGGTCTTGGGGGCTTCAGGTGTGGGGAAGAAGGCCTGAGTGCTAGCTTTGCTGCTGCCTGCCAGCGCCCTGGCCATCACCTGTTGAAAACCAGAGCTACATCCAAAGAGCACTCTCAGTTTATGGAGTCCCAGTACTGTTTTGGCTTATTTATGTTGCTGGTGACCCCTTTATGAATGTCTTCGGCCTGGACTTCTATCCTGAATATGCTTAAAGATGTACTTTCCTAAACCTATTCTTCTCCATCCAGGAGACCATGTAATCAGTGCTAGGGAAACATCAACGATTCATAGGGAATCCTGGTGCAATTTGAAAAGAGTGTGGGGAAGGGAAGTTCAAGTGAGGAGCTGGTTTGGACCATGATCATCCATGGATGGATCTTCCACACTGGGGCCTGGGGGTGGAGTCAGGGTTCTGGCAAGCTGAGGATACTCTCCATGTACACACAGAGAGCAGCATGAGGTTCAGACTCTTTGCTCACCCAGCTTGGGGGTGTGTTTCTCATCTAACGACATACAAGCATGTGAGCCTCTCGCTTGGCTTCTCTGTGCAGACCCCTTCTCCTCCCATTGCCTCCCTGGCCTCTGAGAATGGAGGAGTTTATTGTAAACCACCAGGCTGGGTGCAGCAGAGTCAGAAGAATGACTCACAGGCAGGGTTGCAACCACCAGGGGGAGGAGCAGCGCGGCCCTCCCAGCAGGGGCGTATGATTAAAGTGAGGAAGGGCATGAGTGCGCGGCCCACAGAAGAGTCATGGTTTAGATTAGTGGACGGATTGGCACAAAATCTGGAATTATTATTTTCCAATAGAGAGAGAAAAGGGGCTTGTAGGAACTGTTCACTGAACCAGGCAGAGAAAAATATTTTTCAAGGTGTTTTTTTAAATGGTTTCAGTCTTTTAGACACAATTACAAGTACTTTTATAGAAATGTCTGTGTAACTAAGACAACACACACATTTTTAAAGTGGTTTATTTACACAGAATGTAGATTTCTTCATGTGAAAAGAAATTCCAACAATTGACTGCAGCCTTTTTGAACTCCAGAGACTGAGGCCAGGGTGTCTACACTTCGGTGACCTCTCTCAGTTCCTATCCTGGGCTTTGCTGTTCCATGCTCACAAAGCCTCTTCCAGAAAGAAAACCCTCATTTCAAAGAACAGCATCTCTTCCTCCAGGGTCAGAGAGTACAGACTCCGCCAGCGCTCAGTTTCAAAGAATCTCACACGTCCCTTTTTATAAAGAGCAAAGCTTTTCTAGTTCCATTGTCATTTACACTAGTTTATTTTGATTTGTGGAAAAAAATGTATTATAAAACACATTTCAGCAGACAGCATGGAGCACTTTGAGGCTTCATTTGCATAATAAACTGCCCAGAACAATGATAATCCATTAAACGGTCTCATAAAAAGACCCTTCAGAAGGTGGCTGAATAAGTGAAAAAACAGGATGATTATCATGGCCACCAACAACGTCACCAGGAGTGCAGCTTCATAAACAGCTTGTCAGTTAGTTAATTAGTTGGGGGTGAAGGCCACAGCTGGGGCAAAAGGCCTGAGCCAGCCAGACAGTGTGCTTGCCAGACACTGACCCCAGCCAAGATCAGATGCAGAGAGGGGACAGCAGGGCTGGAGGGAATGCTCAGGTTTGACCCAGACACACCTGGATTTGAACCCTGTCCTCACATTTCCCGGATGTGTCATTATACAGAGCTTTGGTTTTCTCATCTGCAAAGCAAACATAAAAATACCTGCCTTACAAGGTCGATTTGAAGACCAGAGGTTGGGTAAAGGTGGGGTGGGGAGAGGGACACCACTGTTTCAGGACCATACGCAATGTAATCACCTCATCCTCGTGGCAATCCAGGTGCTGGTATATTTGGCATTTTCATGTTACAGACGAGGAAAGTAAGGCTCAGGCAGATGAAGTAACTTGTCCAAGGCCACTCAGCGAGTAAGCATTGAAACCGGAAGCCCCGCCCCATTCTGCAGGCCTCCCCAGCCTGGCCCCGCTTCTCCCTCCCAGTGCTCCCTGTCTTTGTGGTGTCTGGGTGGGCTCCTCCCTGCTCGCCAGGTGATCACACAGTTCTGCTTCCCAGGTGGCTCGTTTTTCCTTCCTGGACCTGAAGCTCCTTGAGGACAGTGACAAGATCATAACTGTCTTCATAAAACACTGATCTGCCTGTTAATAGCTCCCCTTATTCTGAGGACTCCCCTGAAGGCAGCTCAGGTGCAGCAGTTTCCCTGCCAGGCCCTGCAGAGCCTGGGAGAATCTGCATCTTGTCCAGGCCTGTTTGCTTCTGGATGGAGCCTGCCTGGTTGCCCTCTGCCTCCTCGTGGAGGTCTCCACTGCTCAGACCTAGGCCCTGGGAGGCCCTGGGAGAAGAGTTGACCAATGGGAAGCAGGAGAAGGGGAGGGGATAAAAGCAAGGGGAAGCCGGACAGCAACGAAGAAGAGAGGTGGGAATAGTGCTTGTGCAAGGAGCAGGGTGCCCCGCCTGCCCTCAGAGCTCAGGCAGAGTCCCCACAGCAGGGGCTGGGGGTGGGGCTGGGGAGGAAGCCAGGCAGATACCACTGCCTCACAATTAGAACAGCACTGTGGCTCAGAAAACCATGATACCAAGAAGTGCCAGGAAGGCAGGGACCTACTGAGGAACAGCAGTGGCATGGCATGGGGGCAGCCTGTCAGCACCTCGGCCTGACTGCAGTTTAGGGGTGGGAATGAGGTGAGGTGTAAGCTGGAGATGGGGCATGGGCTGGTCCCGAGGATGGAAATGACTCAGGCCTCTTGGTGCCAAGCAGGAAAACCCAACCACAAGCAGCTTAAACATGATAATGGGCATTTATTGACTTGACCACCTAATAAGTCTGGGCTCAGCCAACTAGGTTCTCAAGTGACATCACCAGGTGCTAAAGCCCCGCCCACCCACTCATGGGCTGAGAGTGGGGAGAGCAGGTTCTGCTGAGCAGGAAAATAGCAAATATTCACCATGCAGGTTAGCAAAAAGAAAAAGAATAGAGAGGAACATGATTGGAGAGAAAGCTGAAAAGAAAAAGGGAGCAGGAGGAACAGGGAAAAACAAGAAGCGGGGAATCAGGCAAGGAGTTTCAAGACAGGTCATTGCAAAGGTTGGGAAAGAAAGAGAGAGGCTCCAGCAGATTTGCAGGGTTTATTGTAAATTTGGCAAGAGTTATACAGAAACCAAAAAGAACGTGTGGTTCTGCTCCTGGCCATGGTGCAGGCATTGCATCACCTTCAGCCTGGCTTTTGGCAAAGCTCACCTCCCACCCTGCCCCACCCTGCCTGTGGAGGTGAAGAGCAGCTGTTCTTGGTCGCTCACTTCCTAGTACCATCCATAGCTTGGCTCTGGGAATTCTCTCCTCAAAGCTCTAAGCAGATTCCACCAGTGTCTACAGGCTGTGGCCCAAAGCCGTGCAGCTGAGAGTGTGACGAAGTGGCTCCACACCTCCCGCTCCTGCTGAGCAGACACTGCCGCTTCACTGCCAGATCCAGGATCATCACCCTCCAGTTCATTCTGGGCAAAACCACCTGCCACCCATATGCACACTTGTCCTCATCCTAACATGGGCCCCATGGCTTTCACCACCCCAAACTTTGGCTCCTAACCCTTTGTTCAGAAAAACCTGGTTGCAGACCAAGATGCTTGATCTGTGAAGATGCAAGAAACTCTTATCACTGCTTTTGCCATAATCCCTCTTTCTTCTCTGTCTTTCGAAGCACGCTTGTTGGGTTGGAAAGCAAAACTAAATGGGAAGAACTAATATTTATTAAACTCTTGCCATGCACTGAGCTCTTTCTATAGTTTTCTAATCCTCTTTTTCCTTTTCTGCATTTGCTGTTTCTTAAATTGAGTATTGTTTTGTGCAAGACAAAATGTTTTCATTAAGAAATCCTCTTTGCTTGTGTTAGATAGGTTGCTGGCACCACACTGGCTGGTTCTGAGTGGAGGCGGGCATTCTCACTCAGCCATGGAGACCATAGGGCTCAGAGAGCTGACCTGGCTGCCCCAGGACACGGAGCAGTAAGAAATAGAATCACAATTCAAACCTGGATTTTGTCTCCAAATCCAGCAATTCTGAACTATGGCGCTATAAAGTCTAGTGCAATCCCTGCTAGTTCCTGGCAGCTGCCCACTAATGCCGTCTCTGTCAGGCTGGTGGCCTGTCTGTCCCTGCAGAGGAGAGAACAGGACCTTGCACTGCTGTGACCACCAGTTCCCAGGTCCTGTGGGACGAGCCATGTCCTCACGGCAACCCTGCCCTGCCTGACCTCTGGGTCTGTCTCGTGGCTATTGTCTCTTTATTTTTCAGCTACCTCTTGTCTTCATAACATTAGTGTCCTTGCCAGCATTGGGCACAGTTTGATTAGGGGAGAATTATCACCATTTTAATGCAATATACAACCAGTGTGAGATGCAGAGACACTGAGTCTTGTTTAAATTATCTTACAAATCTGAGGCCAGGCACAGTGGTTCATGCCTGTAATCCCAGCAATTTGGGAGGCTGAGGCAGGTGGATCACCTGAGGTCAGGAGTTGGAGACCAGTGCAGCCAATATGGTGAAACCCTGTCTATACTAAAAATACAAAGATTAGCTGGGCATGGTGGCAGGTGCCTGTAATCCCGGCTACTCAGGAGGCTGAGGCAGGAGAATCATTTGAACCTGGGAGGTGGAGGTTGCAGTGAGCCGAGATTGTGCCACTGCACTCCAGCCTGGGTGACAGAGTGAGTCTCCATCTCAAAAAAAAAAATGAATTAAATAAATAAATAATAATTTTACAAATCTGAGATATGTGCCTGAAAGACACATCTTAGAACTCTCGCCAACTCATTGATCAAGTCACCTATCCACAGAATAACTGAGTCAGTCTGCTGTCTTCACCCAGGAAAGTGATCAGGTCTTTATAGCTCAAGGCTGGGTTGCTTGTAGGAAATCCCTGTGTGGGCTGCAAGATTCAAGAAGCATTGGGGATTTCTCCCTCAAAAATATCTTCTCCATGGATGCCCCAGGGAGAGCTCATGGAAGCTATCAGAGTGGTCTTTTGGCCAGGAGATGCAGTCATCCTCATGGAAGCTATCAGAGTGGCCTTTTGGCTGGGAGACGCAGTCATCCTCATGAAAGCTATCAGAGTGGTCTTCTGGCCGGCAGATGTAGTCATCCACCGATCTCTTCTTGTTTTAGCCATCTCTCTCTCCTCCGTGGGCTCTCTGAGGAAAATACATGCATAGGCTAAACTGGCAAAGGAAAGCAAAGCAACATTTTATTATTAATTGGGGCTTTGGTTCCAAGTCTCCAAACAGAATTCCATTAAACTAGGTTGGACTCAATGGGAAATTCTTCATGAGAATTTATGAGAATATGCATAAGGCAGCTCAGAGCTTAGAACCAAGTGCTGGGCAGTATATTCCTTTTTATGCACTCACAATCAGACCTTAAGCTTAACTCCATCAACCAGACCAGAGAATTCCTACAATAGCAGGAGGAAATGGAGTCACAGCACAAGGGACCCTGCTTGTCTGAAGTGCTCAGTGCAGAACCAGCCAAGCCTGGTTGCTGTATTAGGAAAAGAGAACTTTCAGAGAGAAAGCCTGTCTGGCCCTTGGCACTTCTCGTTGCAGTCACTGGAGAGGTAAGAGAGAAAAGGGGCCACTCTGTCATGTGCTTTCTCTGAAAACAAACCCAGGACAATATGACTAACCATTGACCGAGAGCTTGGAATTTCCTGTCCTTGATGCCACAAGCAATGCCAAACTTGGCAATGTAAAATAGCAACTGTTTTATAGTGCTCTTGAGTTCTGCGAGCCAGGGATCTGAGAACAGCACTGTAGGGTGGCTTATCTCTGCTCCACACTGTCTGCATCCTCAGCTTGGAAGACCGGGAGGCTGGAAGCAGCTTGGCAGCTGGGGTCTGAAACCCCCTGCAGGCACACTTCTTCACATGGCAGTTGATGCTGGCTGCTGGCTGGGACCTCTGCTGGGCTGCCAGCCAGAATATCTGTTTGTGGCTTCTCCATGTGGCTATTTGGGCTTCTTCAAATTTCTTCTAAGAGTGATCATCCCAAGAGAACCAGGCTGAAGCCATATCACCTTTCGCATGCTAGCCTTGGAAGTAAAATCATGTCCTTCTCATTGTACTCCGTTAATCAGGGCAGTCGCAAAGATCCAGCCAGACTGAATGAGAGGGGACAGACACCATCATTCCATGGCTGGTGAGTTAAGCTTACATTGTAAGAAAAGCATGTGGGATGGGCAGTGTTATTACTTGCCACCCAACTCACCCTTGATTAGTAATAAAGTGTCTATATGGGCCACGTGGAAGCAAGGGGGAGAGAAATAAGAATCCTAAGTTTCTCCCAGGTACTGACTGATACTGAGAAACGTACCTAAAACCCACTGCTAGAATCTGTCTCTGGATCAGAGCACGCAGCCTCAGGACAGTGAGTAATTAAGCTGTTATTGGCCGTTGGTGTCAATAGCCAATACTGACTACACACTTGGATTGTCTATTGGTCATATTAGAAAGCAGACAGGACTGAAGATCTAGACGGATAAATAGTTCTTTGGTGAAGGGTTTTGGGACATATTTCATCAATAGGTTCCTATCAGGCAAATGCTGAGGAGGCTGGAGATGAAAACTGAACAAATAACTGGAAGAAAAGAATGAAGAAAGGCCTTCTTTAAGCCTTGGCTCCTTCATGATTTGGCCAGGACCAGTCCTTCCCAGAAGTGAGAGTCAGCTGGGCAGGAGTTTTCCTCCATCAGTGGAGTCATTTTATCAAAACCCAGCCTTAGAGCGCTTCTTTACGGAGGGAGAAACTCAAACACAAGGCAGGGGAGGTGACAAGTGTGTTCTCCATGCCTGGGGTTTCAGGTGAGGGTGGAGGTGTGGGGCCAGGCAGGTGGTTGCTATCACCTCTTCCCCATAAGGAAGATAACACTAACATGCAGGTTGATACAGGGAGAGCAGAATTATGGGATGTTACATCTTACAGAAATATCAGTTATATTTCTTTAATTGTCAGTGACAAAAAGATATTTTTTCTACAAATAAAAAAGGCCATATTTGGAATAATATGGAGCATCTTACAAAAGGAAAATTGCACCTGTACCTAATAAGCCATAGTAGCTCTGGGAACTGAATCTCGGGGACCAGGAACAGTCTCGCATGTCATTGTAATCTGGATTCATGAACTCTGACTTTCCACAGTCTTTGAGTCACTGAGCACCAGGATCAACTTTCACAGAGGATCCAGATAATCAGCCAGCTTGAGTCACACTCCTGCAGCTTGGCTAGGGTAGGGATTCCTGACCAACAGTCCCATAAGATCTTATCCAGTCAGGAGGTACTGGACCAATCTGAAGTGCAGCCAAGACCGGGAGCCACAGACCTGGAACCTGGGTACTCAAAGAGTTGTCCACGTGCCAGCAGCACTGGCCCCTCCAGGAGCTTGTTAGAAATGTAGAACCTCAGAGCCTACATTAAAGATATTGAATCGGAGTCTGCACGTCACATCTGAGAAGCCATGAGCTAAGCTGATGCCATTCAGCTGGGTAGCATCGCAGTCACTGTGCAACTTTTAAACCTACAGCTGCCCAGGCCCACTGCAGACCTGCTAAATTCGAGCTCCTTGTAGTGGGGCCAGGGCCCTGGGACTTCACACAAAACTCTGCAAGTCATCACTGATGAGAAAACCAAGACTCGATGAGGTAAAGCAACTTCCCCCACCACGAAACCTAGTCCTGTGTGAGGGAGCCAGGGGTATTTACATTTTCCTAATTTACATCCTTTTAAACTGCATTTTTCAGAGTCTCCTGAGCTCGGGGGAAGAAGCTGCATAACCGGCACACTTCCAGAAAGGACCGAGGAAGAGAGCGTCGCTTCAGCTAGGGATCTGATTAGTCATGCCTGGTAGGCTCTGCTGAGCTGGGGGCTCTTGGGTTTTGCTTGTTGAGCTGAATTAATATATTAATGGATTTCATGTTTGACTCGCTCTTTCTTTCTCACTGTGCAGGAGCTAAAGGAGTGGAGCTGGGGATGCAAATGTTTCTGTTTAGACAGCTGAAGTGGCCATGCGAGCCCACAGCGAGAGCTGCAGGAGCAGCTACTACAGGGAGTGGGCAGATTTTAGGATGTGCAGCTTTGTACTTGGTGTGGCTCGGTTGTACATTCAGGAATCTCTTTCCTTGTGATACATGGAGCTGCACGTGGAAGATGTTAGGAAAACAGCTGGGTGCAGTTTTGCTGGTTAGTTCTGAACAAACCTAAAGATGTGAGATTTGAACTCTATAAGGGAAGAAAGTGAGGAGGAAGAAGGCACTGAGGCTGCCTGTCACCAGGAGGGTTCTGGGCAAAACAGGGTAGAGTGACTTGGGACAGTTCCTCTTAACGATAGCACAGGCAGTAGGGGTTGAGACACAGTGGGGTTGAGACTTGCTTAAATGTACAGTTATTCAGTCAACCATTTTCATAGAATAATTGTGGGTTGTGTGGGTTGTCTTGAGCTGCCGAGTTCACATGTTCTGCAGTGGAGCACTATATGCTAATGTGAGATGTGAGTACACCCAGATTTCACCTGCCCTAGAACGTGGTTTTGTTTTTTTTTAAAGTAAAACAATGTTGTGGCCAGGTGTGGCCTGATAGCTTTAAAAACAAATGGCCTCTGCTGAGGGACACTTGGGTTGTTTCCCTGTCTTTGCTACAGTGAGCAGTGCTGCAGTGGACATGGGAGGGCAGGCAGCTCTTCTACCCACTGACCTCCTTTCCTATGGGTTTGTCCCCAGAAGTGGGACCTGCTGGATCATATCAAAGCTCTGTTTGTCTTTTCCTGAGGAAGCTTCAGGCTGTTTTCATCCGGGCTCTACTAATTCACATTCCCACCCACAGTGAATAAGGGTTCACTCTTCTCCATATCCTCACCAACACAGGTTACCTTTTGACTTTTTCATAATTGCCATCCTAACAGGTGTGAGGTGATAATTGTTTGCGGTTTTAATTTGCATTTCCCTGATGATTAGTTGAGGACTTTTTCATATACCTGTTGCCCATTTGTATGTCTTCTTTGGAACAATGTCTATTCAGGTCCTTTGCCCATTTTTAATCAGGTTATTATTCTTATTATTTTACTACTGAGCTGTATGAGTTTCTTATTTATTTAAAATATTAACCCCCTTTCAGATATATGGTTTGAAAATGATGTCTTTTATTCCATAGGTTGGCAGATGAATGGACTAAGAATACGTGATACACACACACACACACACACAGACACATGTACTAAAATATCTTTCAGCCTTAACAAGAAGAAAATCTTGCCATTTGCAATGAGATAGATAAACCTAGAAGACATTATGTTAAATGAAATAAAGCAAGCACAGAAAATCACATACTACACACTTATATGTAGAATCTAGAAAAGTTGGAATCATTGAAATAGAGTAGAATGAAAGCCACCAACAGCTGGGGGTAGGAGAAACAGGAAGATGATGGTCAAAGGTCAGAGGACACAAACTTGCAGGTGTAAGATGAGTCAGTTCTGGAGACCTAGTGTACAGCGTGGGGACTCTAGTTAATAATGTGTTTGACACTTGGAACTTGGAAAGAGTTGATCTCAAGTATTCTCACCACACACACACACACACACAAACACACAGGTACTTGTGAGGTGAAGGATATGTTAATTTTCTTGATTGTGGTAATCATTTCACGATGTGTGTCTATATAAAACATCATGCTGCACACTTTACATACATAGAGTTGTATATGTCAATTTTATCTCAATGAAATGGCAGGTCCTTCCCTTGACCTGCCACCTGACCTGCTACAGTTCAGAGGTTTGAGGCAGGGTAGCATCACCACCAGTGGAGATGGAGGCAGTGTTTAAATAACACACAATTATGTTGGGAAGTCAAAGGGGGCACCAGGCTCTCTAAGGAAAAGCTTGGCCTCTTCAGGACATTCTAGGAGGATAGCACATAATCCACACCCCACACCATGCCTTTCCCTGGGTGATGTCATTCCTGAATCCACATCCCACACCATGACTTTCCCTGGGTGATGTCATTCCCGCTGTGGCATCTGGATCATCCACCTGCCAACAGTGCCCAGAGCCTCACCTCCAGACCAGACCCACCCTCTTCAAATGGCCCACCCTGCAGACCCTCTCGAAGAGCTCACAGGCACCCCCAGAGAAGGTGTCCCAAATGCCGCCTTCTCTCACCAGCCTGTTCTCACTGAAGTCTTGGTTATCTTAGTAAATGGCACCACTACCCAACCAGTTGCTTGAGTCCATAAATGTAGGACTTACCATTCACACCACCCTTTGTCTTATCACTCAGTTTAAACACATCTCTCAGCCTTGACCATTTCACTTTCAAAGTATACCTTGAATCTCTGGGTACCTCTTTGTGTTTACAGCCATCATCTGACTCTAAGCCACAGACACCTCTCATCTAGATATGACCACAGCCAGTGTCAGCCTGCCAGATACACACCCTGCTCACATTCCTGCTTCCCTCCAGTCTATTCCACTTGCACATACACGTATACACTCACACACACTCATTCACATGCACACTGCCACACACACATACACAGCACTGCATACACTCATACTCACTTCCATACCCATGACCACACACTCACACACGCACACAATCACATGCATGACCACCACACACACTCACACACTCATGCACATACAGTCACATACAAACACGTGATCTTTAAGAACGTATGTTAAATAACATTGTTTCTACTTATGATTCATCAGTAGCATCCTGTGGCATTTTGTATTTAATTCAAACTTCTTCACCTGTTCCAGAAGCTCCTGGGAGCCATGGCCCCTGCCGGCCCCCCAGGTTCCCCTGATACCACACCCTGCACTGCCCAGTCCCTCCACACTGACCCCCTTTAGCTGCTCAAAGTCTTCCTCTGCCCCGTAGTTTCCACACAGGCCCTCCCCTGCTGGGGTGCTCTCCCTGCCAGTCCTGGCCTGGCTATTCCTCCCATAGACCCCCCTGATGGAAGGAGGCTCCTTGGACCCAGGCACTGCTCCTGTGCTGGTCTCCATGGGGCCTCGGTAGTGGACATTGTGTCCATTGTTCACTGAGTGAGTGAGCGTTCACTTGCTTACAGTGTGTGTCCTACACACTATGCTCCATGAGGGAAGGGACTGATTTGCTCATCACTGAAATGCTGGAGTTTCTGGTATTCAACACATGCTCAGTAAGACCTGACTGAACAACTCAATACCATCTCCACTATAGAGACACCCACAGAGTGCGGCAGAGGCAGCCATGGGCCAATGTTTAGGTGACTGAGTTTCTGATGCCATCACAGGCCCTAATTCCCCATGTGAATTTGGGCAAATTGCTGTACCTCTCTGAGCGCAACTTCCTCACCTGTATGTAAGAGGGTTTACATCAGGCATCTTTATGGCCCTGAATTATGAAAAAGTAAGAAGACTTCGCTTCCTGGGGTCTTTGGGGCTGGCCTGTTATGTTTGCAGGGAGCCTGGCAGTGTTCCTGTGCTGTCCTCCCTTTTTTGGCTTGAAGTGTTGACAGCATGTGTGCTTACTTGCTGGAGATCCCATGGTGTGTAAAGCTGTGGTTGTTGGATTTGGTAACAGTCTCTGCTGGAGCTTGCACAGCAAGCTACGGGGCAGAGGAAGACTTTGAACTCCAGAGCAGTGGAACTGGCAACTCCCTAGGATCCTGATCCTCATCAGTTTGGACGTTTCTTGTAGCCATGTGACCCATCTGTGTCTCTACTTGCCTTTATGGGACCGAAGACCACCTGACCGTGGCTCCATGTGAATGTGAAATCAGGTCTGGAGTGGGAGAGCAGTGGGTGCCGCCCCGCCGGCTGCGACACTGGGCTGGAGTCTCTGGTGGGTGGTGGACCCATTGAGCTGGCAGCGTGCACCTGATCTCATCCCGAGGGAATCCACGTGGTGTTTTCCTTGTTTTCTGGTGAAAATAATTGGGTGCAATGAGAGAGCTGAGCCACCTGTGTGCCAGGTGCCAGAGATCAGTGGCCTCACCATAAACTTGGCCAGGGCAGAAGATGGCTGAAGGTCAAAGTAGCTGCAAGAGGTGTTGTTATCAGGCATGAAGATAAATCGCTTGATATCAGCTTAAAAATGACAAGAATAAAGCTTCTCCTTTACGCTGCCTGAGACCCTGTTTGCTGACAGTGATGGGTGTGAGCTAAAGCTCACTTGCTCTTGCCCCTTCAGATACAATCAGCTACTGTTCTGCAGAGATGGGCATCTGCCAACCTGCACAGTCCGGTGTTTTGATAGAGCAACTCTCTCGATATTCTTCTCTAACCCCCTCTTACCCTTCGGGCATTTCAAACACTGTCCTGGACTCTTCTCCCTCACCTGCAGCACAGAGGCACAGAGTGAAGAAGAAACACAGCACCAGGACCCTCTTTCCTATCTGTTTAGAGAGAAGATGGTGGAGAAGGTTTGGGCGGGAAAGTAAATAGAGACCAAGGGTAGGAGGAGAGAGGGGCAGGATGGGAGGGAGACAGGGCATGAGGGAGAAAGAGAAGTCATTGATGGGCAGAGGGTGAAGGGAGAAGAGGAGAGAGAAAATGAGGGGTAGAGAGAAGCTTGCCATGGAGGGCACAGAATGCATTTCCCCCTCAGAACACTGGCTTGAAGCAGAGAAAATGAATTTTAGTGATATTCAAGGTTGAAACACTCACCAGCAATAGACACACTTAGAAATAGCTTAATAAATGCATTAACAATCTACAAAGACACAGAAAGTTCCAAGAATTCTAAATCCTCTCTTCCCTCTAGGTCTCAGCAGACCAAAGCAAGTTATTTTCTGATGAAAGGATTTCATCAAACCTTGATGCTCACTTGGATTTTTAAGTGGAACAAGGTCACTGTGTCTCTGTGCAGTTGCATCATGCAATCCTAATGAGAGAGGCTTCTCAGTCACTCCAAATGTGACCATGTGTGCAGATCCTCATGTTCTCAGACACCAGCCCCTTCTCCCAGACTGGCTTGCTCCAAACTGCAATCCTCTGAGGCCCATCATCAGTGCCCTGGTCTGAGGCACATGGAGTGTGTCACCCAGAATTATTGGAATGGAAATGCACTGATCCTCAAAAGAGGCAATCACCATTACACCAAGGGAGCTTCTATGGCTTTCTATTTGATTGCAGTTCTATTCCAGGAGGCTGCCACTCTGTTATGCCCAGGTTAGGTTCATGAAGTGGATTCCTGAAATGCTGCGATTCACAGAGGGTTTCCTCTCATGTGTGACTGAATTTATCAAAATGTTTAATAAAGCTACGTGATCTCCCACAGGACTTGGCTGCACAGCATCGCAGGTCCACCAGAGCTGCCTCCCTCCCTGAGTCAACGCGTCCCTGAAGATACACAGCTTATGTCAGCAGCACAGACCTGCATCCCCCATGGTGACTCAGTTTACATTCCGTACCCTTGCCCCTGCATGGGGGTCTTCTTGGAAACTCTGAGACAAGTTGGCTAGGTTAGGTGTCCCCTGATCTCAATCTTGCCCAGCCCTATGTGAACTTAGGTCTCTGGAGACTAAGAAGCCCCATGGGCAGAGGAGGAGGAGCAGCAAAGGCCCCAAGCATGAAGTGATTTGGGGGGAGGAGAGAGGAGTTTCCAGGGAGGGTGAGCACCCCATCCCCACTGCAGCACTGTCCCTCTGCCAATGCACATGATACAGCTGGAGTCCTTCCTCCCGCCTGGCTGTGCAGAGTGGCCCTGGGACCTCTAGGTGAGCAGAGAGCGGGAGGTGCAGCAGATGGAGTCAGGCTCCTTATACTCTCTCCTCACTGCTGTGGAGGATATAAGCAGGGGCCACGTGGCTTCAGAGCCTCCTGTTCCTCCCCTTCCCCGAATTCCTATCAACAGCTAACCAAATCCCTGCAAACACCCACTCTCCAAGCACCTGCTAAGAACCAGGGGTCTTTGGCAGAGGACTCCCCTTGCAGTGGGTGCTCAGAGCCCACTGATCTTGCCCCTCCACTGGCCCGGCTGTGGGAGCTGGCAGCTGGCAGTGGAACCAGAACTTAGGAAGGTAGGATGTCAGCTTGGAGCCATGCTGGCTGTCACCAGAGGCCGCCCCTCCATCAGCTAAGCCTTCCCGGGTGTTGTGTCATGAGCACACACAGTCTGGAGTCTCTGACACAGCTTTGTTTTCCCTGCTCTATCCATGGGCCCACCTCTCACTTTCCCGAAAGAGAGGGCAGGGCAAGCCGTCTCACAGACGGCAGAGCAGATGCCTGACCATACTCTTGAGCAGCTTCAGAGAAGTATTTATGCCCTGAAGTGGTTTCTTCAGGTGACCAGACCAAAGTGAGTTGCTGGACACCACCTACCCCAAGGCCCCTGTCTGCAGGAAGCTCAGGTCCATGCCCCTCAGAGCCAGCCAGCTCCCCCTTCCACCTAACCCTGACCAGCAGGAAACCTGTGGAAGTCAGGGGTCAGCCATGCCCCCTTTCCTCAACCCTCCTGCCTCTCAGCCTTCCCAGGCTGCAGAATTTCACCCTTCAGAGGCTTCCAGAGTCTGCCCACTCCCGTGAGGAACCATCGTCCTCCATAAATGAAACAAAGCCCTTTCCCTGGGGAAGCATGGGGGGCTTACTGAACCTGCTTCTGTGAGGCTGGGCTTGACTGGTGGGCAAAGCTGAGTGTGGCTGGGCCCAGCTGCTCCAGCAGGGCCCTCCCTGCTGCTCCTCCACCCGGAAGGTGGCCTGTGGCCAGAACGTGGCCTTAGAGCTCAGCCCTGACCAGCTTGTGAACTCAGCCCCGGTCCACCCAGGAGGAAGCACAGGTCTCTTGTCTCACTGAGTCTCATCTCATCAGTCACAGACCTTCCTCCCCATCTCCACCCGCAGAGGCAGCCGAGGGCTGGGATGGGGCAAGGAGGCCTCGTATAACTGTGGGAACTGTGGCTGGAGGGTGTCAGAGACAGAACGTGGAATTCCAGTCTCGTGTGGAAGTGAGGTGAGAGATGCAGATTGCTGTTTTAAAATCTACATAAAATTACCAACTTGAATATTTCCTTATGACTCCTGGAATTCTACTTCTTCGGCCCCTAAGCGTGGACATCTGATGCAGTTCTGGAATGTAAATAGGATTTTATAAAGGCTTCAGGAAATGTTCTGCTTTCCCTATTATAAGAAACGATTGACATTTCTTCTCCTATATGCTTTTCTTTCTGCTTTAAAAGCAGATAAAATGTTTCAGCTACAGCTTCAAGCCAGTGAACAAAGCTGTGGAAATCTGGTTTCAATACGTGGAAGTTTACCTCTGCGATGACTGCCTGGCGGTGGCTGTTACGTGATTCCAGGGACATAAGGCATGTGAGAGTGAGGTCAGGGCTCTGCTGCACTGGGAAGTGTGGAATCCAGCAGGTCATGATGTTGTTGGCACAACTTCATCTAGATCACTTTCAGGATATCATGCGATATTCAGTGTGGTAGGAAGAGATCAGTACAATGCCTCCAATTGTACAGCATAACCTAGGTATGCAGAGGGCAAAAGACAGAAACCTGTGATCAAGTCAGCACTAGAGCCTAGAATCTATTAACTCCCTATGTACTGTGGTTTTCCTGGAGAAAGAAATTAGTAAATGATAAAATTGCGGCAGCCAGATATAAAATGCAAAGTTGTCTATGAGTGAATAGACATTTAAGAAACAGTATGCATAGCTTCACAGATAATCCAGTGATGTAGATTGAAAGTTTGTTTCCTTCCAAGATTCCAATGTGAAAATTCCAACCTGGGAAGGAATGAACAAACGCTGCTGAACCCAGTAGGCCCAGCAAGTGGGCAGTGTGTCCCAGTGGGCCTGGAAGGCAGATCATTGAGCCAAAGGAAATCGGGTTCAACGCTCTTCATTCCAGGGAGTTTGCCTTGTGGTTTGGACTTGCCTGAGATCCATTACTCCTTTCTTGTTTCCTATTTCTCTCTCTGGGAGAAATGTCTGTCCTATGCTTGCAGCACTACTCTACTCTGGAGGCACATAACATTTAGTTTCACAGATTCCTGCCTAGAGAGAAATTTGTTTCAAGATGACTTTTACCTTGAGTCTTAGCCATATCTAATTTAGAGGATATTTATATAAGACTTCCGATTTGAGATTTAGAGTTGACACTGAAGGGGTTGAGACTTTTGGGGCTATTGGGATGTAATTAGTGCATTTTGCATGTTAGAAGCATTCTAGGCCAGGAGCTGAATGCTGCAGAATGATGGTTTATGTCTCTTCAAGATGTATATGTTGAACTCCTAACACCTAAGGTGATGGTATTAGGAGGTGGGGCCTTTGAGAGGTGATTAGATCATAAAGGTGAGGCCTTCATGAATGGGATCAGTGCCCTCCTAGAAGAGACTCCAGAGAGCTCTTTCACCCTCCATGTGGGGACACAGTGACAAGACGGCTGCTTATAAACCAGGAAGTAAGCTGTCACGAGACACTGAATTCTCAGCACCTGGATTTTGGACTTCCAGTCTTCATAACTGTGAGAAATGCATTTCTGTTGTTTGTAAGCCACTCAGTCTATGGTATTCTAGTATGGAAGCCTGAATGGACTAACACATTCAATAACTCAAAGTGATGTTTTAAGAACAGCAGATCTTGCCAACAGAAGGCACAGGCTTCCTCCCTCCTTACCTTCCTCTCACCCACATGGCCTCCCAACCCATCCCTTCACCACTTTTGTCACACCAACCCTTTACCTCTCCCCCAGCATCAAGCCAACACTACCAATTGCTGCTGACCTTCTGCTAATGCTAAATTTAAAATCAACTTTTTATTTAGAAAGTTTAAAACTTAAATTATAGACTTGGACCTAGGTGGAAGAGAGAAAGAAAAAAAGATTTCTAGACCCTGAGACAAACTCATACATCTGTCCATAAATCTGCTCATTTCATTTTATAGAAACAAAGAAATATGCTTAGTGGGTAGATTTAAATACTCAGACAATTAAAGTATACGATACTTTGCATGGCAACAATTAGTGGTGAGAAGAGTAGGGAGAGGTCCTGATTCTGCATTCCCCAAGAGCCTGATCTGATCACAATCTTTTGTTGAAATTACTCAATTGTTATTTTTAAGTATTTAATTTTTCCCCGCCTTTTGTAAAAATAAAACAGACAGATAGACATACACTGTGAAGCTAAAGGCTAAGATTCAGCTGATTTTCCAATGCTAATCATGAGAGTGGAGGTTGTTTATGGAAGCTGAACAATATGACTTTCATCACCAGGCAGTGGCCCCTGGGCAAAGACTCCAGGGTCTCTGGATAAGAAGAAACTGATAGGGAAAAATGGAGAGCACTTAGTTCACCATGGCAGAAATGCTGCAATAAACAAACCTAATGAAGAAGAAACATAAATCCAGATCAAACCAAGAATGGTTATTTTAGCTTCCTTCTCCTCCTTCTCCTTCTCCTCCTGCTTCTCCTCCTCCTCCGGATTTTTTTTGTCCCTTTATCAATGCATCATTTTTCAACTCTGTCACTTCCACATAACACAGCCACCATTTGCTGTTCTCAACTTTTCCTTTTTGTATTTGTTTGACACTAACTTTTCCCACAGTCTGTAGATTTTTTTTGTCCTTTTCTAATAGTTCGTGTTTTAGAAATTCAGAACAAACAATTTCTGAATGCTCCTCAGAACGCCAACTCAGGCAGAGAATCTCACCGAAATAGAGAAGAAGCTCATGCTCCTGGAAGAAACAGCCCGAGGAGAGCCGCTGGGCCACATCTGGCCACTGTCCGCAGCGCTGTCAGATTGCTGGGGCCACATCTGGCCACTGTCCACAGTGCTGTCAGATCCAAGGAGAGCCGCTGGGCCACATCTGGCCACTGTCCACAGCGCTGTCAGATGCCGACCAAACCCTGCTTTGGTGTTGAGGTGGTTCGTCTGGTAGCCTCCTTTCTTAAGGGTATTTAATCTGCTGCAAATTGTTTTCATGTATGCAATAGATGTTACTGTAACTGTTTTATAAGGTGCATTGTCTTCACCTTGGCAGGCTCTGTGCCAGTCTGTGTCTAGTCTGATGCCATTCCTGCACACATACATCCATGCCCCAGCATTTGGAGGGCTGGAGTTAGGAATAATCCTGTTGGTGACTTATTATTAACTATTGTATGGGACTTATTATGTATCTTCATGTTCTACTGTTCCCACCTCCCAAACCCCAAAAAAGGATGAGATCTGTCTTATAACAAAAACATTTACGATAAGGCCAATACTATAAAATAAGTAATAAAGTTAATACCAACAAAAAGAGAAGTATTAATTACTGCTGCAGTTAGGGTTGACATTATTCCTATGATTGAGCTTTGAAGACATTTCTAAGCAGTAATAAACATGAACCAAACGTCGCACAGTTCCATTCATGGTCCTGATCTGAGAGAACGCATTCCTAGATGGACACCCACTCCCTCTCCCAACTGCCCAACTCATCAGTAAATGGAGTTTGATTTAAGCCAAACCTAATGCAGTACTTCCCTGTACTTGAGGTTTTCCTTCTGTGATTTCAATTACCTCTGGTCAACGAGATTCAAAAATATTAAATAGAAAATTCTAGAGATAAACAATTTACAAGTTCTAAACTGCATGCCTTTCTGGTAGCATGATAAAATCTCATGCTGTCCTGCTCTGTCCCACGTGGAACATGAATCATTCCTTGTCCAGCATATTTACTCTTCATAGCAGCAGTCTAGGTTATCAGATTGACAGCGCCCAAGAAGAAAGGTGAGTTAAGTACAATAATATATTTGTAAAGAAAGACCATGTTTATGTAAGTTTTATTATAAAATATTATCATAATTGTTCTATTTTATTATTAGTTGTTATGGTTTATCTCTTTCTGTACTTAATTTATAAATTAAAATTTATCATAGGTATGAATATATAAGAAAAAACAAAATATATATATAGGGTTTGGTACTATCCACAATTTCAGCTATTCACTGGAGTCTAGGAAGATATTTTTCATGGATAAGGAGGGGGTTGGGGTATAGGAAAATAAAATTAAATATGCAAAAATGTCTAATCATATGACTAAAGAAAGTATACACATGACATTGGAAAAGATAAAAGGATCAGTAGTCATTATAGCAGCTTCAAATTTAGAATGCATATTTACAATTGGTAATACATTTATAGCAATTTATTCATGATGGGTGGTAAGAAGAGAGTAAACAATCTTTCATTGGTAAATCTTTTTGAGATATCTCATTGCTGAATACTTTACATGCTATCTCATTGAATGTTTATGAGGATCTCAAGAAGTAGTCATATTCCTAATAGAGAAAAAAATACTTGAGTTTTTTTTTTTTTTTTTTTTTTTTTTTTTGCTATTTCAGTGTTCCCTTTTCCTTTGCCAGTCCTCCAATAGCTGTTCAATGAATCTACATATTAAGTTTAAGGCTGACTCCATCTCCCGAATCACAGTGGTCATTCTGCCTCTTGGACTGACTCCATTCTTCATTTATTGAGTCCCTGTGGATATAGAGCCTCAGCTCTTGTCATCCCCTAAGGAAAGTGTTGGTCTGAGAAGTGAAACCAAGCTGGCACAGCACTGTAGGCCTGGGAGGGAAAGTGACACATGCCTGCATCCCAAGGAGTGGGGATGGTGAAATCATGAGGGACTCAATGAGGCTATCATTTGGGGTGCCACTGGAACATTGATTAGTGATGAAAGAGGAGAGACCATTGTCCTCCTGAGAGAATAAATCTGGTCCTCTTGGTGTCTCCTTTCCAAGATCACCTCGTTCTTCCTGTCTTACCGACTTCTCAGCTTGAGTAAATAAACCCTCCAGTGAATGGGGCCATGGGAAATTTTAGTCTATCTATCTCTACATCACTGAACATGTTGGACTTCACTGATCTTAAGCACAAACATCATTTTTCCTCTTATCAATGATCTTTTAGCATTTTAAGCAACTTTTATATAACAATACTTTTGTTTTAATATTTTTTCTGGTATCTTGTCTCAGTATCTTCCCATGTAGAACAACTCTATATATCACAGAACTGCTAAAAGCAATTAAATATGGCATATTGAGTTTTTAAATTACATTCTCTTCATTAAAATAACCAGAGTGAAATTTTATTAGTAAAAATAATGAAGTAAGAGCCTCTGAAAATCTCCCCCTCCATAAAAGCAACAGAAATCTGAAAAGAATTGTCAGATTCAGTGTCAACTTTTTCAAAACATAGGCAATTAACCAAAGGCTTAAAGAATGTTAGAAGCATGTATTAAAAAAAGGCTAGATCTCCACAAGAACTCAATATTTGTGTTTTAACTTGCCATAGGTGCACCCACCCTTCCACAGTGAAGTCATAGTCTTGAAAAATAACAGCATTTCTATCACAGAAAGGAGCAGAATGGAGTTAGATCCTAATTCCCAAAGAATTGCAATTATTTGAACTGTCTGGTGGTTCCCTAGAAAACTGGGCTGGAAAGGATTTTCTTTATGTAACCTTACTTAGATCTTATGCGCTGTTAAAAACATCTACAAAAAGAGTGGTTGAGAGGGAATTTGAAAAAAAAAATTATAGGCAAGTGTTGTAAATGTTGTGTTTGCCAGATATGGTGGATAACAGTTGGATCAAATAACATATATTAACCAGAAAGCTTAAAAGAGCCTGCTGAAAAGCAAGATGTTCACAGAGATTTTAAAAATATCAGACATATTCATGGAAATATAGACATCTATAAATATATGTAGAGCTATGCACATGCTCAGGAAAGTATCTGTGAAAGCCCTAAGCTCTCACTTTTGGCTGAGTTTCAGGCTCTGTTCAAGCAGAAAGTGAAGGCTAAGATAGATTTTTAAACCATTGAAGACATGCCTTAACACACATGCAGAATTCCCTCAGCAAAGACTGGAATATTTATTGGTCTTAGGTGTTTAAAGAAATACCTGGCCAGGTGTGGCGGCTCATGCCTGTAATCCCAGCACTTCGGGAGGCTGAGATGAGTGGATCATGAGGTCATGAGTTCAAGACCAGCCTGACCAACATGGTGAAACCCGGTCTCTACTAAAAATACAAAAATTAGCTGGGTGTGGAGGCGTGCACCTGTAATACCAGCCACTCAGGAGGCTGAGGCAGGAGAATCACTTGAACTAAGGAGGCAGAGGTTGCTGTGAGCTGAGATTGTACCATTTTACTCCAGCCTGGGTGACAGAGCAAGGCTCTGTATCAAAAAAAAAAAAAAAAAAAAAGAAAGAAAGAAAGAAAAGAAATGTCTGTACAATCATTACCTGACAACTAAATTGAATAGAGGTTTTAGTGGCTGAACACAATAAATAATATAGACTGCACAGAATTTGTTCAGAAAAAGATACTAAATAAACAATAATTACAACAAGCAGCAATAGCCACAAACTCTTATGAGGGAGAAGAAACTGAATTGCAGAGTTGCCATGCTATATAACGTAAAATGTCTAGTTTTCAACAAAAAAACCAAACCAGGAGACAGGCAAAGAAACAAAAAAGTATGGCAGGGAAAATGGAATAAATAGAAAGTGATCCAGAGGAAGTCCAGACATTGAACTTACTAGTCTAAAACCTTATATCACTGATTTTAAGTATATTCAAAGAATTAAAGGAAATCATGTCTAAAGAATTAAAGGAAATGATAATTATATCTCACCAAACACAATATCAATAAATGCATTTAAATTATAGAAAAAGAACCAAATAGAAACCCTGGAATTGTATAGTACAATAACTGACTTGAAAAATTTACTAGAGGTATTCAACAGCATATCTGAGCAGGAAGAAAAATCATCAGTGAACTTAATAAGAAATCAATTGAAATTATTTAGTTCATGGAACATAAAGAAAAAAGAAAAAATGATTTGAAGTTATAATAGTCAAAAATTTCTAAATTTGATGAAAAAATATTACTTTATACATCTAAGAAGCTTAACTAACTCCAAGTAAGAAATTTAGAAAGAGCCACTATAAGGCACATCATAATCAAACTGTTGATTAAAAAAATAAAGCTTGGAAGCAGCAAGAAAGAAGTGACTCTTTATGTACGAGAAGTTTGCGATAACTATAAGAGATAATTGCTCATTAGAAATTATGAAGGCCATAAGGCAGTGCCGAAATATATCAAATTAACAAAAGCCTGTTAACTAAGAATACTATATTCAGCAGAACTATCCCTCAAAAATGAAAAGAAAATTAACATATTCACAGATAAATAAAAACTGAGGGACTTTGTCACTAGAGGACCTGCCCTGTAAGAAATATTACAGGGGGAGTTTCAGGTTGAAATAAAGGGACATTAGACAGTAACTCAAACTAACATGAATAAATAAACAGCAATGGTAAAGGTAACAATATAGGTAAATATAAAGACAATATTAATTTATTTTTATGCCACTTTTTCCTCTATCTAATAAAAAAACTGCACAAGGGAATATACACACAATGTATAAGGATGTAATCTGTGACAATGACAACATAAAAGGATTGTGGAGTTATTTAACAGCAAAGTTTTTCTTATGATTGAAATTGTTTGTTTTAATTTGAATATTGTTATAAATTAAGATGTTATTAGTAATTCCTAGGGGAGCCACTAAGAATATCACTCAAAAATATACAGTAAAAGAAATGGTAAGAAAATTAATATAGTAAACTAGAAAAATTTAACATGCAATAAAAATAAGCAATAATAGAGAAATTGAGGAATAAAAATGGCATAAGACATACGAAAACAAATAGCAAAACTGAAGATGTAAATCCTACCCATAAACAATTACATTAAATGAAAATGGATTAAACTCTGCAAGTAAAAGCAGATATTAGCAGAATAATTTTTTTAATGATCCAACTATATGCTATCTACAAGACATTCCTTTTAGATTCGATGACAAAATAGGTTGCAGGTAAAATGATGGAAAATATATACCATGCAAAAGTTACCAAAAGAGAGCAGGAGTGACTATACTAGTATCAAACAAAATAGAGAAAAATTTTCATTAAATAACAACACTTTATAGCTATAAAAGAGTACATTTATCAAAAAGGTAAAAATATATCTGTAAATTTTATGCAAATAAATGAAATAATAACTGACAGAATTGAAGGAAGGTATATGCAATTTAGGAAAATAGTTGGAGATTATTATACTATTATATTAGACTATTATATCTCACTTTCAATAATGGATCAAAAACTAGATAGCATATTGCAAAGAAAATAGAAGACTTGGACAGTGTTATAAACCAGCTTCAGAGCACTCTACATAACAATGGAAAAAATATATACATTCTTCCCAAGTGTATATGGAAAATTCTCCATGACAGACCATGTTTTAGGCTATACAACAAGCCCCAATAAATTTACAGGGATTGAAATCATATAACACTATGTTCTCAAGCCACTGCAATAAAACTAAAATCAATAACAAAAGGAAATCTGGTAAATTTTCAAATATATGGAAATTAAGACATTTTTAAATTGCCAATGTGCCAAAGAAGAAATCACAGGGAAATTATAAAATAGCTTCAGCAGAATGAAAACAAAAACGTAACACACCAGACATTATAGGATGCAATGAAAGCAGCACTCAGAGGGACATTTAGAGCTGCAAAGGCCTATATTAAAAACATTAGAGATTGTAAATCAATAAACTCATCTTTTTGTCTAAACAAGTAAGAAAAGAAGAGAAAATGGCATCTAAACCAAGCAAAAGGAAGGAAATAATTAAGATTAGACTATGGATAAACAAAATAAAAAATGACGAAAAAAGAGAAAAAAGTTTCTTTGAAAATATCACCAAAATTGACTAACTTCTAAGTAAAATAATCAAGAAAAAAAGAGTTAAACATTAAATTACTGAAATCAGATAAAAAGGGGATGTTACTTCCAACTGGAACAAAATAAAAGAGATTATAAAATAATACTATAAACAATTTGCCACAAATCAAATAATTCAGATGAAGCAAACAAATTTTTAGGACATGAGCTACCTACCAAAAACTGACTCAAAGCCAGCTGTGGTGGCTCAAGCCTGTAATTCCAGCACTTTGGGAGGCTGAGGTGGGAGGATCACTTAAGCCCAGTAGTTTGAGACCAGCTTGGGCAACATAGTGAGACCCCATCTCTACCAAAAAAAAATTTTTTTTAACTAGCCAGGCATGGTGGCTCATGCCTGTAGTTCTAGCTACTTGGGAGGCTAAGGTGGGAGGATCCCTTGTGCCCAGGAATTTGAGAATGCAGTGAGCCAAGATTTTACCACTGCACTCTAGCCTGGGCAACAAAGTGAGACCCTGTCTCAAATAACAACAATAACAAAACTGACTCAATAAGAAATAGAAAATGTAAATACATCTATAAGAGCTACAGAAGTTAATAATAATTTACAAAAAATCCTTCCCACGTGAAAAGCCCACAGCAGATGACTTTACTAGTGGATTCTCTTAAGCATTTAAATAATTAACCCTAATCCTTCACAAACCCTTCCAAAAAATAGAAGGAAGCACTTTCTAACTTATTTTATAAGACCAAATAACAAACTCAGACAAGACTCACAAGAAAAACTACAGAACAATATTCCTTATATAAATACAGATGTAAAAATCTTCAACAAAACTAGCAAATGAATCTAGCACCATATAAGAAGGATTACACATCATGACATAGTTGAATTTATCCCAAGAGTGCAAAGCTAGTTCAACATAGGGAAATCAATCTATGTAATATGCTATAATAAAAGAATAAAAAGGAGGAGATGATTACCTCAATATAGTTAGAAAAAGTATTTGACAAAATCCAACACGCCTTCATAATACCAACACACAGCAAACTAAGAATAAAAGGGATCTTCCTTAACCTGTTAAAGAGCATCTGCAAAACACCCACAGCCAGCCTCCTACTTACTGATGAAAGACTGAATGCTTTCCCCTTGAAATCAGGAAGGAGGCAAGGATTTCTGTTCTCACTACTTCTGTTTAACATTATACTATAAATTCTAGCCAGCGTAATTAGGCAATAAAATGCCATAAAACATATAAGGATTGGGAAGGAAGAAATAAAACTCTTTCTATCTGTAGATGGCATTAAAGAAACACCAAATAATACACACATATGCACAAAGTATTATAGACAATAAATTCAACAAAGATACAGGGTATGAAATAAATATACAAAAATAAAAATCAGTTATATTTTTATAAAGTAGCAATAAAATTTCTGAAAATGAAATTTTTAATTTACAATAGCATTAAAAAATACTTAGAAATAAATTTAACCAAAGTAGTGCAAGACTTTACATTGAAAACTATGAAACATTGTTGAAGGAAATTTAAGAAGACCTAATTAAATGGAAACACATCCCATCTTTATGAATTAGAGGACTTAATATGGTTAAGATGGTGATATGTACAAAATCAATCTTCAAATATGCCATCCTAATAAAAATTTCACTGCTTTTTTAAATGAACAAGGTGATTTGCAAATTCATATGGACATTCAAGGTAACCCAAAAAGCCAGAACAATCTTAAAGAGGAAAAAAATCAAAAACAGAGTTGGCGTACACATTTCAAAACACAGGGCCACGCTACAGTCATCAAGACAGTGTGGTGCTGGCATACAGATAGACTCATAAAGCAAAGGAACAGAACTGACACTCCAGAAAAATATCCACACACATATGTTCAGCTGATTTTAACAAGAATGCGAAGCCCATTCAATAACGAATAATCATCTTTTCAGCAAGTGAGACTGAGATATTATGAAGAAAGTAAAAAACTGACCCACAGAATGGGAAAAATATTTGCAAACTATAATCTGACCAGAGTCTAGTATAAAGAATAAAGACGTCTTACAGCTCAATCATGAAAGGGAAAATATTTCAATTAAGGTGAACAAATAATTTAAATAGGCATCTCTCCCGGAACTTTATCAATGGCCAAGAAGCCCATGAAAAGATGCTCTGCCCCATGAGTCACCAGGGGAAGGCAAGTCAAGACCATAGTCACATGCCACTCATACCCATCACAATGGATATTTTTTTTAAAAAAATGAACAATAAGCATTGGCAGAAATGCTGAGAAATTGAAACCCTCCCACATTGCAGGGGGGTATGTAAATGGTGCAGGGCTGCAACTTAACATAGAGTATGCTGGAAAGTAGAGTCTGCCCAGTTCAAATGCCTTATGATTCTGTTAATACAACAGGAAGGATCAACATAGAATCCTGCACTTAGATTGGCTTCTGGAAGCATGAGTTGTAACCAGAGATAGTGGCACTGTGAATTGCTCCAGTCAAGTCTACAATGACATAAACAATCATAACAAACCACAAGTCATAATAACACAACCAGTAACAAAAACATCAAGAGCAACAAACAGTAAATATTATTTACTATGTGCCAGATACTAACATAAGTACTTTGCATGTATTAATGCATGTAAATATTATAACAAATTTTTGAAGGAATTCTGCTTAGCAAAAGTTTATAGTTGGGGATGTTAATCAAAGCACTCAGGATCACACAGCTATCAGTGGAAGATCTGGGCTTCAAACTCAAACAGGTAAACTCCAAAATCTTCGCTCTTAGTGACTGTGCTTTACAGCTGATGTCTGTACTCTGCTTTAGATCGTGAAAACTGTTTTCATCTGCAATAGCTCATTTCATCTTTACAACAGCGCTATCAGCAGACAGGGCAGAATCATCACCTCTCCTTATAGGCGAGAAAACGAAGGATCAGGAATCTTAAAGTCACTCCTCCAAGGTGATTCGATGGGTAAGTGACAGGAACGGTATCCGAACCAAGTTCTAACCCCTGACACCAGAGCAATGCCTTTTTTTTTTTTCATAGATGAAGCCATTCTCTCTCTGTTAAACCTCTGTGAAAACACATGGCTCCTCAGCTGAGGGCCTCTATAAAGCTCGAGGACTGATCGAGATGGTTACTCCACATAAATCATGTACTCACAAGCATTCTGCACCTGTCCACAATTTTAAACTTAGAGGCACGTAGGGTACAAGAGCCTCCACTTCATCACACAGAGCTAGTGTGTGAATCTCAGTCCCAAGGTGTCTGAGAGATGGGGCTTACATCTCTGCCTCTCCAGGAGACTCCTGCCTGGAGACGGCCCTGATGGATGGGGAGGAAGAAGCTGATGGTTTCAGCCTGACCTTGGCAAATGGCTCTGTGTCCATCCCTCTTAACCTCTGCCTTACAAAAATAACCTGCTCTCAGCACAAAAACAAAGAACTAGCAGAACATGAAAATCAGGCAGAGATGCCACTGGTGTGGAAAGAATAGCAATATTATCCTAATGACTCTGCAATAAAATGCAATCATGCGAGGAAATTTACCCTGAAATCACGTTCCTAAGCTTTGCAGAGAAGCCTCTGTTTCCTGGCCTTCGTCACACTGACCTTCTGAAAGACTACTCCCTGAGGGATTGGCAAGATCTTTTCTTATGCCTTTGTCTCTAGACTGATGCCCTTGTCTGTGGACTGCCTAGAAGACAGGTCCCAACTGCCCCTGTGGGTCCATCTCCATTGAGAAAGCTGCCTTGTCAGCCACAGACTTGCCAACCACATGGAGCACGGAAACACCTGGGCCCACTCTGGCCGTGTGGCTTCAGTAAGGTCACTTCCATCTGGGGTTGAGAAACTGACCCAGAAGATGCAATATATTTCTTGCTTTTCACATAGCAGAGCTCTTCTGGTATATAATCTAGGCACTAACATTGGAAATCTTAAATTGTGCATTCCTCTGTTCAAATTTGGGCCCAGCAATACTTTTCTATCTCCTGCTGCTCAGCAAGTCACCTATGCCCAAAGCATACAGATTCCTCAATGCAGCATGCATGTGGATGTTTACGTGCCTGCTGAGTGGCTGCTGGCATTGTGGAAAGGCCGAGTGGTATAGGACAGAGCACAGGGTCAGGCTAGGTGGTTCAGCCTGGACCACATCACTGAGGATGACAGGTTGTATGTAACTGAGGAGGGTTGGACCTGGCACTTGTTGATTCTCATGTTTCAAGCACCAATATAACTTTTATATATTCACGAAGCATATTGCTTATAATAGCTCTCTAAAGTATTTTCATCTGTATTTTATGTGTAAGGAAACTGAGACTTAGGGAGGTTAACTCTCATGTAAATTCCCCAAACTGATATGTGGCAAAGCCATGCTTTGTATAATGAAAAAGTTTCTTGAGCAGACCACACTACCTCCACTTAACTTCTCTTAGCCCCAATTCTCTCATCTGTAACTGAGAGAAAATAACTTTGTGGGGTTGCTGTGAGGACTAAGTAAGAAAACCACCAAGCCAGCTGTCTGCATGTATATGTGATTTCCCTTTTCCCCAGCCATAGAGATTAAGCCCAGGATGAAGGCAGGATTTATGACAACTCTGCCAGGGTACAATAATCTATTATTTAAGCACTTATGGATCTGTACTCAAAGCAGTTCAAGAAAAACATTAAGGCACCTCAAAAAGATATATAGAACCAAGCAAGATGAAGTCAAATGTAAAATAAGTGGGTCAAGGAACAAAAGAAAAAGGAAAAAAAATGGGTGAAAGATAGAGTGAGGTCAGGAGAGACGTTCGTATGCAAAACTGCATGGTTCCAGCCTCTGTGGTGTTGCTGTCTGGGGGCCTGAGAGTTATTATTAGTGAGCTCCAAATTGGCTATGAGGTTATTATTTGTTTGTTTTGCTGTGGAGGGGCACAGCTGCTCCTAGAATGCCGATCAGAGAGATTTCTCCATGCACCACCTTTACTGAAGACATTATGTGTTCTCAGCTACAACTACATGAGGACATAGACAGACAAATGGTGTATTTTTTGACAATTTCTCAGTGCGAGCTGAAGATATATTTCCAAAGCCCAAATCAGAACAGATGAGGCTAAAAGAGCATCAAGTAGGGCATCCCAGGGCCTTCTGAAGGTCATTCTTTAGCCAGCAATTGATGCACAACCTGGACAATTTCTTAACCTGCTCAGCAGCAATGAGACTGTGCTCCCTGCCTGAGAAGTACCTGAGGTGCTCCCTCGCTGGCTCTTTGTACCTCTTCTTGATGGTTAAGGGAGAAGGAAACCCTATCAGGATGGGTGAAGAAGGCAAAAACAAGTGCCAGAATGCTGCCCTTTAGCTACTTGGGAAAGAAATGAGGGAGGCTCCCCAAACAGGATCGAAATTGGCTGCAAGAGGTTCTTGGGCATCTCCCCTCACAAGAGTTCAAGGCCTCCAAAATGACACCTGCCACTTGCACAGTTCCAGACCACGGTAGAACCCAGCCCACTGGTTCCCAGCTGCTGGGAGCCAGGATAGGAGTTTGGTGCCCATCCCTGGAACTGAAGGGACTACCTACACCTCCCTGAGTTGTGTCTGTTTCCATTCAGTATAATTCAAGTTGGTCAACATCTATAAAGGGACCTCATATAAGTCAGCAACATGCTAAGAGCTAGAAATATAAGTTTGAAACATGCTAAGAGCTGGGAACACAAAGGCCCCTGTCCTCGGTGGGCTCATAATCTCATGATGCAAACCCACACTTGAATGCCCCTAACCGTGGTACAGCAGCATGCGGGATGCACCACACATTGCAGGAGAAGGGAAAGGAGCCTACCTGGCCGGGCAAAGCTGGAGGAGGGCTTCATCATAGAAGGTATTAGTCACTTTCTGATGAAGAAGATTCCACAAAGGGCCCATCTCCAGAAATTGATTGAGCTGGAATGCATCGCATAACTTGGCCTCCCCATCACGAAGTGGTAGCAGAGCCAAGATGCTTGACTGTCTGTCTCTGACTCTTGCCGCCCCTTCCAGTCCTATTTGCAGATGTGAATGTCTCCACTGGTCCAGCCTGAACACTCTGACATCATCTAAATCATGAGCTGCTCTGACAATAATGCCAGGCTTGCTAAACCTGCCAGGACACCAAGGGCCAGGATGAAATTTGAAATTCAAGCTAAGCCTTGGACAAATGTCAGCTGCCCTGCCAAGTGCCAGGGAATCCTCCCGCTGGCCATCTCCACTTGGCAGTTCCACTGGATCACAGTTTGTCTTTTGCTTGATTTGCTTTGGTTTTGTCTTCTACATTTTACTTTAAAACTCTCTGATTTTAAGCCTCTGTGTCTTGGTAATGCAGTAATTTAGAAAATGTAAAGAAGAAGAAAATGATGTCAGTGAAAGCTGAAGCAGTTAAAATGTCAGTAAGCTGGGCAGATTTTAATGTGGGGATGGTGGGAGTCCATGTGACCTATGTGGACAGGGGACCTACCCAAGAGACAAGTGGCAGGTCGAGCTCACCACCAGCCACCCCCAGGGCCACCAGCTTGGCTGAAGTAGGTGAAATCCAGAAAAGGATGGTTCAGGAAGAAAGAACAGTCCATAGCTCCGAATCTCCCTCTCTTTTGGACATATAACTACACGCTCAGTGTTTGGTCCAGCTGATATGTTCACCCTCACTTGTTGACACCTCTTGGTGTAGGTAACACTCTCATCATCCCTGAAGCTGTGGAACACAGTAAATCCGAGAATATTCAGGGGAGCAGAGCAGATTGAAGTTTGACTCCAGGCCCTCGGCTTACCAGCTGGTGATCTGGGCTAGTCACTGTGCTTTCCTGTGGGATTAGCACTGATGTGTTGACAAGGAAATAAGGTAATAATGTAATAAAATAATAAATAGGCACATAGTGTCTGTTTGGTGTAGAGCAAACCCCTGGAAGTGATGGCTGTTGGTGTTTTATTACCACTGTGATCGCACATGAGGGAAATGTGGCCCAGAGGGGCAGGATTTGACCCAGGGCTGATACCATTTTTCTAGGTCAGGCCGTCTCTGCATTGTGAGAACACTCAGTGCCCCCTGAAAATGTGAGCAGGACAAGGGCCTCAGGGCCACAAGAAACCCTCTAGCAAAGATTTGGAGATGGTATCAGGTGAAATCCGAGGCTCATTGTGAATTGCAAAGCTTCTATCTTGTACAACCAAAGAGTGATAAATACTGAGTGGGTATCAGATCTCTGCAGCTGGAAACCTGGTGGCAAAAATGCAGGAGTTAAATCCAGTTGGAAGGTCAGTCTCAGCAAAGATCTGAGCTGAATGGAAAGTTTCTGATGAAGTCTCAGATTTTCAATGATTGCTTCATCTTTTACAGCCTCTCTCCCATCCCTGGCCCTGGGCACCCTCCCTCCACCCAGGCTAGAACTTCACACAGACTTCAATCACAAACATCACAAAAGTGTCTCACAAAAATGTTACCTGCTTCCACGGTAAAGGATTTCTCAGAGTGAAAGTCCCGGGGTGCAGGAGTGGCCTGAAGTGCGAGCCCGAATCCTCGGGCTGACTCAGGAGGAAACAGCTCCAATGGGAAGGGCCCTCCCTGATCACTTGCTCCCTCACTTTCTGTGGTCACTGCTCACATGGCAGTCACATGGTGGGGCAAGGAGCGGAGCCTCAGGAAAGTTAAAGAGGTAGGGCTTGACTCCAGTCCGGCTCCTTAGTAGCTGTGTGATCCTGGACAGTCATTTATTCCCTAGATCTGCACTGTCCAATGTAGCAGTCACTAGCCACAGGAAGCTATTTGCATTTACCCTTAATTCAAATAAAAGGAAATACAATTTAAAATCCCACTTCGCTGGTGCACTTGCCACACTGCTCAATAGTGCCCTGTGGCTGGTGGCCGCTGTGTTGACCCAGCTCCACAGCGAGTGCTATTGGACAGCCCTGGTCTAAATCTTAGTTTCCACCTCTGCAAAATGGGTGCTGCCATTGGTAGAGGGTTAAAGAAGTTTCAGAAGGCTGCTGTGGAGTAGGTAGCCAAGGATATTAGTTTTCTTCCTGTCCCTAACTTCATGCTTGAAATCGAAGCCTCTTCCTGGGTTTTGGTAAAAACAAAACCAGGGATGTTCAGGAGTGGCTCAACCTGGGTCTTCTGTGGCTCTAGGTGGGTGTTCCTGACCCCAGAACCCCAGGGAATTCAGCTTCCTGTGAGTACACTGCAGAGGGGAGAGGCTCACTGGGTCCTCAGACCCAAAACCCTTGGAGAAGGGACATTCGTGACCACAGCAGCCTCTAACCAAAGGTGGCACCATCAGGCACCCCAGGCTGGGAGCTGGAGGTGGTTCCTGGGTGTGAGTGGCCCCTCAGTCCCACCTGGGCCTCCTGTTCTCCTCCTTCGACAGAGGGATTTCCGTGCTGTGTGACCCTGGTTTTCCCAGCATGCTCAAATCTATTCCTCTGTACATGAAGAATACTTGCCTCCCCCTGAAAAGACGGGCACTGCTTACCCTGACATTGAGGGGAGATGGTTTCTCCTGAGAAGGTGGGGAGCTGCCTAAGAAGTCAGTGCCATGGAAGAAGCCCAATGGCCCCAGTGGTGTCCTATTCGAACCCTGCTTACTCAGCTGAGGCTGATGCATCTCCGTTCCTGGCCTCTAGAAAGGAAATACTCACTCTGAAAAAGCAGGTGGGATCCGAGCTCTCAGAGAGCCTTTCTGTGCTCTGGGGGCCGACTTAGCCAAGCCTGCTGTGCCCCAGGCCATCTGGCATCTCCCACCTTTTGGGCAGGGGCCCCTTCCGCTGCCTGGAGGAGCAATCCGAGCCTGGCCAGCTACTCCAGCTCACCCAGGAGGTGGCCCAGAAAAAAGGGAGGAGACTGCTTCACGCTTCCCCTGAAACACCCTCCTGCCCTGTCACCCCCACCTCTGCATAACTCCATGTCTCTGCTCTTGGCCTAAGGGATTGAATCAGTAAAAATATGCTTTTTAATAGGTCTTACTTCTTGTCAAAAATATCACAGGCTGGGCATGTGTGTATCTACCCGAATGTGTTTGTAACTCAGATAAAAACAATACACTCCATGAAAATGCCCAAGCAAAACAAATCTTTAATGACATAACTGCAGTGACACATGCACGAAATCCTGGACGAACCCCCCCCCCGGCCCCCTGCCGCTGATGGGGCCCTTCCCAGGTGTTCCTTCAGATCTGAAGCATCCTGGGCCCCACGTGCACATGCACTGCTGCCGTGTGACTGGGAAGGGCCCTCGCTGGAGGTTCCTGGTCCTGTATCACGACGTTTTTGGGAGGCGCTGTAAACACCCAACATCATGGACCCTGATCCTGTCCTGAGTATAGCCACCCTCATTTCCAGGTTTGCTCGTGGACATTGAAGAATGAGTGTGGAAGTAAGTGACCCAGTACCCCCAGGTGGCGAGCGAGGGAAGAGCAGAGGGAGGGAGGCCCACGGCAAGTGAGGGAGGGCGGCCATGGTCCTGGTGGCTGCAGGAGACACCTCCTCCCCTCCTCCCAAGTCTAGCCCAGCCTCCTCCAGGACCAGGGAGCCAAGGAACCAGTGGCCCAGGTAGCTTCTTGTCATCTCTTCGTCATTGCTGTGGTCAGCTGTTCCCTCCGCCCACACCCAGGGGCCCACTGTGACTAACAGTTAAACAGTGCTTTAAAACTTATTGAAAGGATTATATTTTGTATTTCATTGCACCCTAACAGCAGGGGGTACCATGCATCACTCCACCCCGGCTCCTTTCACCTGCGCCACCTCCCTCCCTCTCCTTGTCTTGTGTCAGCTCTCCCTTCTCAGCCAGTCCTCTTCCTGTGGGCTCGTCTAGAGCTGGATCTTGACTTTTCCTCGCTCCTGCTATCTGGGTGTGTCCCTTAGGTGCCACAACTTTAACGACCAAATTCACAATTCCTGCCACATCTGTGTCCTCAGCCCCAATTTCTCCCTGAACGCGACATTCTTATAGCCACGCATCCCTTAACAACAGGGCTCTGTTATGAGAAATGTGTCATTAGGTGATTTTGCCATTGTGTGAACACCACAGAGCACACTTACACACACCTGGATGGCACAGCCCACTGCGCACCGAGGCCGGATGGCAGAACCCACTGTGCACCCAGGCCGGATGGCGGAGCCCACTGCGCACCCAGGCCAGATGGTGGAGCCTACTGTGCACCCAGACTGAACTTCAGAAAGAAAATAAGCTTCCTGTAACTTTTTACTTTATAAATTTCTATGCTTTTAACTTTTTGACTCTTTTGTAATGACTCAGCTTAGAATACAAACACATTGTCCAGCTGTAAAAAATATTTTCTCTTTGTATCCTTATTCTGTAAGATTTTTTCTGTTTTCAAATTCTTTTTTTAACATTTTAAACTTTGCAGTTGAAAACTAAGACACAGGCTGGGCACAGTGGCTCATGCTGTAACCCCAGCACTTTGGGAGGCCAAGGAGGGCAGATCACTTGAGGCCAGGAGTTTGAGACTAGTCTGGCCAACATGGTGAAACCTCGCCCACTAAAAATACAAAAATTAGCTGGGTGTGGTGGCAGGCACCTGTAATTCCAGCTACTCAGGAGGCTGAGGCAGGAGAATTTCTTGAACCCAGGAGGCGGAGGTTGCAGTGAGCCAAGATCGTACCATTGCACTCCAGCCTGGGCGACAGAGCAAGACTCTGTCTCCGGAAAAAAAAAATCTAAGACACAGACACACACATTAGCCAAGGCCTGCAGAGGGTCAGGACTGTCACTATCACTGTCTTACACCTCCACATCCTGTCCCACTGGAAGGTCTTCAGGGGCAATAACATGGAGCTGTCATCTCCTGTGATAGCGATGCCTTCTTCTGGAATTCCTCCTGAAGGACATGCCTGAGACCATTTTACAGTTAACTTATTTTTATAAGTAGAAGGAGCCCACACTCTACAACCATAACAAGTATAGTATAGTAAATATGTAAATCAGTAAACCTTTTATTATCATTATCACTTATTATGTACAGAATATAATTGTGTGTGCTAGACTTTTATAGGACTGGCAGAGCAGTATGTCTGTTTATGCCAGCATCACCACACACATAAAGAAGATTAAATGATCGTATTTATTTAATTACCTACCTGTTTGCTGTCTGTCTCCTCACCACTGGGATGTGAGACGTGCAGTCAGGGCCCGTGTCTGAACACACAATGCCAGTCCCATGTCTACAAGGGTACCTGATACAGACTGATGATCCCCATACACTTGTTCAGTGACTGAGATGATGACAGCAGGCAGGGCAGCAGCTATTTCCGGCCTACGCATTTTCAGATGAGAAATGGAGAGTCCCAAATAGGCTGGTAGGTTGCAGAGCTGGGGCTCACGCTTAGAACCGCTGACTCCCAGCCCAGTGCTCACACCAGCCTCAGGCTGCCGCTTCCTCTGCTAAGAGTAGTGGTGCAAATGCAAATTCAAACAGTGCTTTTACAGACATTTTATTGGTATATTTGATTCCCAGAGTTCTAGGTTAGCCAGGGGAGGATTGTGATTTAATTTAGCCAATAAGGAAACCTTGGCTCTTGGCAGTTCTGATGTTGCCAAGACCATATTCACTTTAGGGACCAGGCTTCAGGCTTCCACGGTCCAAGCAGCCATTGTGACTTCTGCCCTGGCCTTTTGGAAGTAAGAAGAAGAGATTCACGGTTCAGAGAGGAAGGGAAATAGAGAAATGGTTCCTAGGACTTCCTCATCCTCCTAGAACATGGGAGGTGCCAGGCTGGGCAAGGGGCAGGGTAAGGAGCTTGTACTTTGTAGGCCATAGGCTGAGGCCCATGAGAGGCCCCCGTGTGTGGGGACAGAGTCATGGGGAGGGTCAGAAGCTGCAGTCTGGGCTCATTTGTGGCCAGAGCAGACCTCAGCATCTCTGGACCTTGGCTGCCCAGTGTCTGCACTCAGGCCTGACCTCACTTCCTTGTACTGGGCTTCTAGCCTGTCCTTCTCCCTCCTCCCCACCTCTCAAGCCCTGCAGGGACAGCTCAAAGGCTGCCCAAGACCTGGATCCTGGCCACTTGGCCAGGACCACCTGGTACCCACCTCCCTGGTGACAAAGACTGCCCTGGTCCCTGACCTGAACGGGGACAGCTGGGAGGAGAAGAGGCTGCTCAAGGCTGCAGCTTTTACTCTCTGGAATGGAGACCTGCCCTGGAAGATTTTTCTAGGACTCCCAGATCCCTCTTTCCAGACACAAGGGGTCCCCAAGATTGGAAGCCTTACAGCCTCCTCTTCAGAACCAGCTGCTTTCCGACCAGCCCTGGGGAGTGTCTCACAGGCTCTGAATGCAGCATGCCTGCCCTGCCTGGGAGGGGCACAGCCTGCACAGAGTGCTCCACGCAGGAGAGCCACTGCCACTCCCCAGGGTGGTGACGCCACATGCCAGAGACTTGGGATGTTCTCCTAGACACCAAATCTGTACTCCAAGGGCTATTACCGGGTGAAGAGGGAGCGTGCCTGCCTTCCACTCAGTTTGGAAGGTAGAGCCTAAAGGTATGTAGCACACATTCTCTAATAAAAAAGAAAGAAATACTTTCTATATGCACACACTGTAATTAAAAATGGCAGAATAA
Source organism: Homo sapiens (assembly GCF_000001405.40). Taxonomy (NCBI): domain Eukaryota; kingdom Metazoa; phylum Chordata; class Mammalia; order Primates; family Hominidae; genus Homo; species Homo sapiens. The sequence continues at coordinate 14,941,195 of NC_000018.10, read as the reverse complement.
TTATTCTTTGGTTACTAATGACAAGGAAAAATATATAACTTAAAATAAGTTATACAATACTTTGGTTCAATAAGTTTATTTCTTAGAATCCTGCACAGTTACCAGAGTATGGTTTGCATGGTAGGAAAAGCACAAATTGACCTGCAGTGTTATCCTGGGGATGGAATCTCCTGGGAGCACATACAGAGTCCCAGAGCCTGGTGACCCTAAGCTCAGGTGCTGTGGGGAGCTCTATTTGAGTTTCATTTACATAAGAGTCCCTGGGACTCTCAGAAGGGGCCTCTCACTAGGGCTGGGCTGTCAGAAGCACCGGATTTAGCTCTTGCAATGCCCACCCTCAACTCCTGCCACATCTTTGACTTTCATTTGCAAAATAAAAAACTATTTTTCTGCTCCAGGAGGTTTCAGTCCAGCAGAAAAAAGAGATTGTCAATTCCCAGCTTCATCTCCCGTTATGCCCCACAACAGAAAAGGGAAGCAGTGACTTCCCAGGACAGCCTGATGCCGTCAGGAGAGTTTTCTCTCTAGAAAGAGGGACTTTCCTTCTTTATCATTTATATGAAATTGATATGACATTATTTGAGCAATTAAGTTCCATTTGCAGCATCAAGTTCAACCCAAGGCTGTTCTGAAATTGTTCATCCCATTTCCCCAGAAGCCATAAATAAAATAACACCTGGCTGGATGAACATTTGCCATTTCCATTCCACGCTGCTGTTCCCTCCTTCCCACATGCCTGACTTGCTGTGTGTCCACATGTGGTGGATAGACCCCCAACTCTGTTGCCCCCTACTCAGTTTTAAGTCCCCTCTATCCCTGTGGCCACTCTGGGGGCTCCACAGCACTGGCTGTGCTCCAGTGAGGGCGGCAGAGCCCCAGCTTGTTTTCGGAGAGATGCTGCATCCAGAAACTCTAGGCAAGCTTTGTTTCCACCACGGGAAGAACGAAAGCCATGGTGCAGCTCTACAGCAGGGAGGCTGGGTGACATTCCTAGTCCTGGAGCTCAGCTGGGATTTGGGACCCACTGTGGGCTTCATAACATTAGATCCATGGACCTCACCCTGGGTGAGATGAGACATACGTACCCCTATTTTAAAAATAAAATCCATCGGTGATTCTGCTGCACAGTCAAAATTGAAAAGCACTGGATTTGCCTATGAATAAGGAGTCAACGATGTCGGCTTTCTATATTGCAAAATTTTCCCGGCATACACATATTTATGTTTGGATAAGGGCAGTGCCCAGAGTAACTGAAAGGTTAATTAATTATGCCTCCATGGGCCATTAGAATTAACACTGCACAGTCCCAGCATTCCAGGAGTTGTAAGTTACGCTGGACGCGGGTATGCAGTCCCTCCACGTGCTATGCCTGGTGGCATCTGGAGCTCATCTTTAGCTTTATCTGCCACTCAGCTTTCTTTGCATTGCTTAAAATGAACTACTTTATTATATTTATTTTGATCACTGACAATTTTGTGAATTGGACAGCTGCTTCCCAGTGGAATCTAAGTCCTGGAAACTGAAGTCTGCCATTTACAGTGGGACTTCCTGCCTCTGTTCTACATGTCCCGTGGGCCATTGATCCAGGGCACACACAGCTTTCAGGAGTTGACTCAAGACCACTCTGTTTCTTTCCTAATTAGGGCTAGGGGTGTATTCTGCAGCCTCTTTCTCCAAATTCCAGTGCAGCTGAATGAGTGCCTAGAGCCAGGCAGGCCCTTTACTGATCCTGTTCAGTGAGGAGTCCCAGTCACCCACAATGTCATACATAGGGATCCCCCACACCTGGGGACAGGGACCTTGGGTGTGAGGAGGCTCCCTGGGCCCCTGAGCCACTGGGGAATCAGCCAGGGAGCTAAGGTGTTTCACAGAAACACTGGGACAGTGTAGGATGAGCTCCTGTCCCTCTGGGGGCAGGTCCTGTAATCCTAGGGCAAAGGACTGGTGGGGATGATGACCTTACTGCCCCTGTTGTGCTAAGATCAAGTTTGTCAGAACAGCTCACCCTGCTACATCCTGAAAAAAAACAGAATTTGGACCTACTTGGGCAAAGCACAGAACCAACCTGTCCCTTTCCTTCCAACTGCATTCACTTTGAAGAGACAAGAGACAGACGATGAGTAAGATGGATTCAAAAGCACTTCTTTCTCCTCCTGCAGACGTGTTTTCATTGCTGCCAGAACCCTGGCCTAGATGACAGCAGCCTGTGGCCATTTATCTTTCCTCCTGCCTCTAGAGGGGTCCCTCTGTCTCCTGTTGTTGATCTTCTCCTGGGGGGGAAATGAAAGCTGTCTTTATTATACCCTGCAGAACCTAAATCTGCTCTTCTTTAAGACTCCCTTTTTTGTCTGATCCAAGTTTATCTTGCTTCAATTTAAATCTGCTTTGTCCAGTCCCACACGCATCAAGACTAATAACAGGAGGTGAGCATCTTGTCCCCCTCTTACAGTCATCTTCAATATGCTTACGCCTCATGGGTGCCCTTTAGCCCGACTCCCCATGTTCAACACAACACTAAATATTTTAAACATCTGGTCAGCGAGGTTCAAGAAGAGATCCCCCAAGTCCTGTCTGTTATTAGTACTGCCATGTCCTGTGACTGAGGTCAGTTGAAAACTGCAAATAGCCAGTCCAGATGAACTATGAATGTCTCAGACCCTTCCGGAATGAAAGTTTGTGTCCCCTACCAGGTAGAGGACTGAGGGCCATGGCCAGCCAAGATGCCTGAAGAGGAGAAAGGGAATATGGGTTGGGGGTGGAAGATGTGATCAGGAAGGCCAGCGACAACTCAAGACCTGTAAAAGAGCAGAGGGCGGCAAGCGTGGGAGCATTTCATCCTTCTTCTGTTGAGACTGTGTTCTGTGGGAAAAGAAGAGAATACTTAGTTTCTAAAGCCACTTTTTAAATTTTCTAAAACACCTTTGCATTTATTTTCTTGTTTAATCCAAAATGAGTGACTGAGGCAAGAGTCTCAATCAGCTGAGGTATATTCAGCCAGAGCTGAGGGCACATCCAGGAAACACCAGCCACGGTTGTGTGTGTGACTGAGACTCGGTGTTTATGCATTTCCTCCTAAGTTGGGGAAGGCATGTAGGGAGAGGAGTGAAGGCAGAAGAATGGGTCATCTCGTCAGTTTCATACCTGGGAAGATGAGCATCATCAGTGCGGAATGGAAAAGACTTTAGTTTTAGGAGCAGCGGTTGGATTGCAGACCTGAAGTTACCATTGACATATCCTTGTTTGATGGGAGGATGTACATCTTGAAACGGTTCCAGGCCAGCAAGGAACAGTTTGTGGGGGCAGTCACCCAGAGACGCCAGGGGCCTTTGCTTTTCTATGGGGTTTTGTTACAAGATAAAGTTGTCCACATTCTTGAAGTGTTGAACCAAGAACTGAACAAAATGCACACACAAAGTAACAAAAGAATGAAGCAACGAAAGGCGAAGCAACGAAAGGCAAAGCAACAGAAGAACGGAGCAACAAAAGCACAGATTTATTGAGGACAATTCACAGAGCGGGAACCGGCTCGAGCAAGCGGTCAATAGCCTCCTTAATTAGGGGTTTTATTAAGCTCGAGGAACCTGGCAACACCCCTCCATGCCCTTTAGAGGCCTCCAATTGGCTACACCCCATGAAAGATTGGCCTGCGACCCATCAGAGGCTGCAGTGGAGACCCAGCTTGCAGTCCATCAGAGGCTGGAGTGGCTTGTTACCATGGGCGGGAGGACGTGGCCTGTATGCAGCCCCTGCTGCTCTCCTGCTTATACAAACCGGCGGCACCTGCTGTTCTTTTGCTTATATGAACTGGCTACACCTGCTGAACCCCCGTTTACTCTAACTCCCTGTTCTCCTGCCACAGTTTGTTGAGTGTGGAATGCTTGGACACCAGCTTGTAAAGTAACTGTTGTTTATTTGGGAAAAAGCTGGTGGTGTTTTGTGACTCGGTCTCTAGAAGTTAGGGGTTCTGAGATTTCTTTTCATTTTCCTTTACACTCATGACCAAAGTGCTGAAGGAGGCAAGCACAATGATGTATTCACCTTATGTCATGGGAGGTCCCTGCTGTAGGGAGTAAGCTCTTTGCACAGTGACATGAGGCTCATGACCAGTATGTTCCCAGGTCATGGACTTAGGGTCTTCAGTTGGTCACTACCAGCACAGCTTGGGCTCTGCAGTCCTTCAGTCTCATAATGGGGGACCCAGCGGGGTCCTAGTTCTCTTCTCCCAGCCTGGAGCCCAGGACTGGAGGTAGAAAGTGTGCAAAGAGGAGAAAACATGTCCTCTGAATGCCTTCCCATCATGATTTTCCAGCCAGCCTCTGTGAATCTCAGCCCAGGGCTGCTGGCTCCCAGCCTGGCCCCGTCTTGCTTACTGTCTGTGTCTGTTCTCTGAAAAATAGCATCCTTGCAGATGTGAAGCCTCAGTTACTCTGATCCCTACTGTTTCTCCAGCCCCTAGAGCAGTAGGCTTTCAGGAAATGGTGGAAGAACGTTGATTGAGGAAAGAATGGAGTGCTACTCACACAGAGAGGTTGTTTCTTATTGTCTGCCCCACAGCCTAGATGAGAATTGCCTGTGAGTCTCCCTCACAGCCCTGGTGTCCCTCTTCAAGGCAAGGACTATCATTTCTAATTATATGTTTGTTTCACATCCCTCCCTACCCTCCGCCCTAGGTACAAAGTCCTTGGGGGCAGGCACTGCCTCTCGTTTCTCCACCCTATCCCCAGCATCATAAATGTGGATTGCTGGGCCAGCAGATTGCAGGGCTTAGGATGCGTTTGTGGAGGGAGGGAGGAAGGAAGGAAGTAAGGAAGCAAGCAAAGAGGGAGGAAGGTGGAGGAGGGAGGATGGAAGAAGCTGTTAGATGTACCTTTGGCAGCCTCAAAAATCTCACACAGTAAATACTTTTGTTTCTGGAAATTGAACATGAAGGATGGGAAACACCTCCAACACAGACAGTCCTTTCACAGTGTCGACTTTTTGACAGCCTGAAGAACTTTGCAACTCTTAGGTCCATAAGCTGTGAGACATGCCTTGGGCCCAGGAGAAGGAAAGGGAAAGGTTCAGTGGTGTTTTGTGCTCTATTTGGGAATGTTCCCTTGCAACACTGCAGCCTACCCACACTCAGGCTCTTCAAGCGCTCAGGTTCCAGGCTTTGCCAGCTGCTTTAGAAGAAGACAACAGCAATTGACTGCCTTTCTTTCTGGTTTCACCTTTCAAAGCAAAGAATTTATTTTCAAGAGTTCACTCCTTAAGTGCAAGTTTGAAGGTAAAGGAAAGGAGCTGTGTGTACAGAGGAGGGTGTTTCTCACACTGCCTTTCACAGGCTGCACTCCCTGGGGTAACACAAGGAACATCCTTGAGACAGTCTCTGTGTGCAGCCAAAATACATAAAAGGCAGTGGTAGTGCAGAATGCACTGTGCATGCACGTGCACACATACATAGGCATACAGATGCACACATACACGTGTGCATGCAGGTACACATATGCATGCACTACACATATACCCACATGCACACACGTATGCAAGCATCATGCACATACCATACCCAGAGACACACACATATAAATACACATGCATGCACACACACACATTTGCAAGAAGAAAAATAGGTGACCAGAACTAGTAATTGCACATAAACCTGTCACACCACAGCAGAGCCTCTGCCCCTGTCAGTGGTGGCCTGCAGGTGTCAGGCCCACCGTAGGGAAGGAGCTTGGAGTATGACTCCACCTTGGGCTGCTGGATGCACATGATTTTTACCTGAATCACTGCTTCTCAGGGCCAGGGAGTAGTCTGTGGACAGGCGACCTTCTGGAGGAGCAGCCACAAAAGGCCCAGGGCTGTCTCTGCTCCAGGTTAACTTGGTTGTGAAAAAGAATACACCGGAAAGCTAACTAGCTGGAAAGCTCATCCTCTAAGTGAGGAAAGTGTCCTAGCAGCACAGGAAGCCATGGCTGCTCTTACATACCCCTCTCCATTTCATGAGTCTACCTTTGAATGCCTCCTCGAGGTACCCCTCCCAGGCTATGACAATGGCTGTGCTAATCAGGTCTGATTCATGAGACTAGCATGCTATAATGCTCAAACAGGAGGAAACCATGCTAACAATATGTTCATTTATTTTAAAGTCTCCACTTAAGTGGGGTGGGTTGGCCTGAGCCCAGGGTCCCTGAGAGCGCAGTCCTGTCTGTGAGGGGGCCTGGGAGGGTGCAGGGCATCTGTACTGACTGCAGACACGATGGGGTGTGTGTGTGTGTGTGTGTGTGTGTGTGTGTGTGTGTGTGGTAGAGGGAGGAGGATGTGCTGGGCTACCTGTGCACACCCCTCTCTCTCCTGCAGCCCCTGCAGCCGCATGCCTGCACTCCAGGAACCAAAAGCCAGCTCTGTGCCAGCGTCTCCCATGACTGCTCCCAGATGCCTTCTGTTTCAGCAGTTCTGGCTGCTCTTGGCTCCGGATCCCTTCTTGCTATTCCTCCTTGAATATTCCCAACGTTCAGGCTTCAGTGTCCATGCCAGCCCCTCCCTGACCCAGCCCCAGATGCCCTAGCCTGGCATGGATACCAACTCCACCACAGCCTCTCCAGTGCATTTCATCCCACTCCCTCTGATGCATCGGTGGCTCCTGGCTTCAGAGTACTATGTCTTCATCCAGGGTCTTTTAACAGTGCAACCTGAGGCAGAAGCTTCAGTGCTACCAACTTACTAATGAGTGCAGCCTCAGGGAAACAGGAAGGAGGAGCAGTGGACTGAGGTGGGGAGGCAGGGCGGGCAGACCTGTGTGCCATCACTGCCGGGTAGCAAGTGTCACTGCTGTGAGTATGTCCATGTCAGGACAGGTGAGGGAAAGGAGAGGAATCGAACTCCCCAGCTCCCCTCGGGCCTGCCTCTCGCTGGCCAGCACCTGCCTCATAGGCACTGACACGCCCCTGCCCATGCATGGCCCCTGCCTGCAGCCCATGGCACACATTGCCTGCCTTCCAGGCCAGGCTCAGGAGACCAAGCCTGGCGGAGCCAGCCCAGCAGCCTGCAGTGGAGTCAGCAGACCTGCTCCAGGGCCTGGGGCGCCTGCCCTGCAGTGAGGCTGTGGGTGGACCCCTTGCTTGCTTTTTATGGCTGCCCAGGGTGGAATGCAAAGCAGAGAGGGCTCCAGAGGGGCTCTGAGGTGGAGGAAGGATGGTCTGGGGTACGATCCAGAGGCGGGAGGCGGGCAAGGCCCTGAGACATCGTTTAGAGAAGAGAAGCTGACAAGGGTTAGAAAAGAGCCTGGAGTCTGAGAGGAGACAGGGCCAAGACCAATTCATTTCTGTGAAAAATTAGGTTTCAGAGCAGCCCTGTACAAAGGGCAAGTTCATTTTATGTTTCACCATCTGCACTTGACGTAGTTGCAAAGTCATAAATGCCTCAGGTCTCAATGCGCCTTCCCTCCGAGTTCACCTCCTCTGAGTCAAACACCTCTCCCCACGTAGTGGCCACTGATTAATGCCAGTCCCTAACCCCTTTCCTTTCCTGCCCTTCAAGCACACCCGCTTGCACGCATATCTCCCAGCACTGCCCCTCCCTGTCTGCACCTGGAGCCCAGGAGAGGAAGCCTCAGCTGAGCCTGCATCTCTAGGGAAGAATCCTGGTCCCGGGATCCACCTCCTTCCTGGCCCTTGCTCCATGCAGCTCCCACCCAGTCCCGATTTCCTGGCCCTTGCTCCCTGCAGTCCCAGCTCCCACCTGGCCCCAATTTCCTGCCCCTTGCTCTCTGCAGGCCCAGCTCCCACCTGGCCCAGAACCCAAGGCACCCACCCCCGGGCCTGCTGCTGTCCCCTTGATGGCCTGCACTGCAGAACAGGACAGGAGCTGCCGGGGCTCTCTCTGCAGCCTCCTCTCTAGGAGGTCAGAGCTGCATCAGGCTGGGGAAGGAGGGTGGGACACAGGCACCTGGTTAGTGGTCCTGGTGGGCTGGACCCTGCATGCAGAGGAGGCTACAGCCCCACTGTCATTCCCCCACTCCCCACAGATGCACCTGGTAAGACCTGGAGAAAATTGCTTCTCCAGCACATTTAGGATTGTCACGCTTAGCAGGACTGAAAGTTCCATTTTTACAGATAAGGCAAATTTGTTTAGATTCGTGCATGGTCTTTAATTAGAACAAATAGTCTTAGCCACACAACGAAACAAAATTGATGATTCACTGACAGCTGATGGCTTTCAAGAAACAACAGATGTACTTAAAATGAAGATATATTTCATGGTGTATTTTTTTCCCTCCAAAAAACACTGTTGGTTGATTGAATAATGCATTATAATGATTAAGCTGTTAGTTCCAAATACGTTCTTAAGAATTTATGAAGCAATCTGTCCTCCCAGCAGCCCAGGGAGGAGCTTGAATGCTGGTGCACTTAAGAGAGAAGAGGGCAAGAGCTGTGAGCCCACAGGGGCTTCTGGCAGTGCAAAGTGGGAAGAGCCTGAGAGGGTCTTCAGGACTGGGGAGCAGGGGCTACAGGGAGAATGGACTTGGGTCCCAGAACATACCCAGGACAAAATATTCATTAAGATAGAGATAGGGGAGGCCGGCGCGGTGGCTCATGCCTGTAATCCCAGCACTTTGGGAGGGGGAAGCGGGCGGATCACGAGGTCTGGAGATCAAAAACATCCTGGCTAACACGGTGAAACCCCGTCTCTACTAAAAATACAAAAAAAGTTAGCCGGGCGCGGTGGCGGGCGCCTGTAGTCCCAGCTACTCGGGAGGCTGAGGGAGGAGAATGTCGTGAACCCGGGAGGCGGAGCTTGCAGTGAGCCGAGATCGCGCCACGCCACTCCAGCCTGGGCGACAGAGTGAGACTCCGTCTCAAAAACAACAACAACAACAAAAAGATAGAGATAGGGGAGAGGAACCCACTGTTCTCCAGCTCCCTGGGCCAAAGGCAGCCCTGGAGGCCACTGCCACAGCCTTCAGGAGCAGGACTCAGACCTGACGCCAGGCAGGAGCCCCCCACCCCACCTCCCAGGTCTGGGATGAGGCACAAGGGGCTGGGAGGCTGGGCCGACAGAGAAGGATGGTGACCTGGGCCTGAATTCTATCAGTGAAATGTACCCTGAAGAAAATATGTGCTAAATATCTCAGAAGCCCCACAAGGGCAGGGCAGTGAGTGTGCAGGAGGGAGGTGGGGTGGGGCGCCTGGGACAGAGCAGGAGGGAGGTGGGAGGTGGGGTGGGGGGCCTGGGACAGTACAGGAGGGAGGAAGGAGGAGGGAGGTGGGGTGGGGGGCCCGGGACAGAGCAGGAGGGAGGTGGGGTGGGGGGCCTGGGACAGAGGGCCTCCTCTGAAGTTGAACTAATGCCACTGCTCTGCCCTCAAATGGTTTCAGGCCAGAGTCTTCTCTGTTCAGGACTCCATCCCTGTAAGAAAACTGAGGAGCTGGATTGAGAGAGGAGGGAGGGTGTGGAACGTGAATTCTGAGCTATCAAAAGGGGCTGTACTTCGCCTAAGGCCATGGATGCTGTGTGCGCTGTGGGGCACACACCACACTCCTGTTGTCCAGCTGCCTATTTTATGTTCCATGCGCAGGGAGCACTGAGGCCCTTCCTGGAGCCTCCCACACCCACACAACACACTGTAGCCTCCTCTGTCAGTTCAGGGAGGGCAGCTCCGCCTTACACTGCTAGAGCTAAGGTCAGCACAGGGGGATGCCTGCTGAAACAGCATGTGAGGTCAAAAGCCTAGTGGGTTTCCATGTGACGGAAAGTCTGGGCATTGAGGAGGGGTGGAGGTGACCAGGAATTAAGGGGTTACCAGATGCTGGGAACAGAAATGGGTGTTTGACATGCAGAGTTTTCCAGATCACTGGAGATCAAAATACTCGTCCTTGTTCTAGAATTTTTAGTCTCTGGTGTGTGACCTTGGGTAAGTCACATTTCCACTCTAGGACACTTCTGCCTCATTTGAAAAATGAGAGGTTTGGACTAAAGAGCCTCTAAAGTCTCTTCCATCTTAAGAGTCAATGGTGAGCTGTCATTTGGGTGATGCACACTCTTCGTAGCATCCCCTGTCACTAAAGACAGTAGCCTGGCAGGTCATTACTGCTGAAGAGAGCTTCAGGGCTCTGGGTGCAGGGCTGCCAAATGCCACCTCGCAGCACAATCACGGAATCTCCAGGAATGCTTCTGTAAATGCTGATTGCTGGGCCAGCATAACTCTACTAAATCATCATCTTCTGTGGTAGGACTGGCAAGTCTGTATTTCCAATGACTTCTCTGCTGAGTACAATGTCCCCAGTTTTCCAAGCACCAAAGTGAGGCCAGCACCAAACTCCTGACTTTAATTAGCCACAACTAGGTTAGCAGAAAATTATCAGAGCATTCAAGGCAAATGCTATTCTACAATGAGCTTCTACCTGGAGATCTGTGAGGACCAGCAGAGCCACGAGGATGCATCATTCTCAGGAAGCTCAGCCACCGTGCTGGGGAAGGAGCCATCCTAGTGGATAGGGCCTGTGGACACCCCATGCTGTTTCAGTTGTGTGGGTTGGGGAGACTCCAGGAAGGGCCTCAGCACTTCCTGGGTGTGGAAGGTATAATAGGTGGCTGGACAATAGGAGTGTGGTGTGTCTACCCCATAGCACACCCAGCGTCCATGGCCTTAGAGGAAGCAGAACCTCTTTGATAGCTTAGAATTCACATCCCACACTCTCCTTCCTCTCCACTCTCCAGCTCTTTAGTTTTCTTACAGGGATGGAGTCCTCATCAGAGAAGACCATGGCCTGAAATCATTTGAGGGGTGGGTCAGTTGCATTAATTTAACTTCAGAGGAGTCCCTCTGCCCCAGGCTCTGCACCCCACCCACCACCCACCTTCCTCCCAGAAACTCACTGCCCTGCCCTTGTGCGGCCTTCTGAGACCATTTAGTGTATATTTCACTCAAGGAAGGCCTCACTGACAATCCAGGCCCAGGTCACCATCCTTCTCTGTCGGCCCAGCCTCTCAGGGACTGGCCTGGGATGGACCCTGGCAGATGCAGCCTGCCTTCTGGAGGAACCCACCTGGCGAGCCAGTGTCCTGCTTCTTCCCCCTATTCACTCACCTGAGCCACACACCTGCATATGCCACCCTTTATCTCAGGATGTTCTTAAGGCAATACATTCATCTAACATGGCTGAAGTATCCTCACATGACCCCTTCCCATCTACCTGTGAGGGAAGCCACTTACTCATCCAGAGCCCTGGACTTGCCGTTCCTTCTGCCTGAAGTCTGCTTTTGCTGGGACTCCATCTGGCTGCCTCATTTTCCTCATTACCCTGTGAGATGAAATGTCATTTCCTCAGAGATTTCTCCTGGATCATTTCCCCAGTCACCACCTTCGTTTATCTATTACACCTAGCACTATATGAAATGCACACACACATACACACACACATGCATGCACATATCTTGTAGTTGCCGTTGTTATCCACCCACCAATCCCCAAATGGTGAACTCCATGGGGCAGTAACTTTGCCCGTCATAGTCAATCCTGTTTCCCTAGAACCTAGAAACAGGTACACTCCAAGTCCTCAACGAATACTTATTATGTAAAGTTTGATGCTAGAATAATTCCATGAATTAAAATATCCCAGTATCCTATTCTGGAAAGTAAAAAAATTGGACTCATTGTCCTCTGGGATCTCTTTGAGCTTATATAGGCCTGAAGAAACTATTATTTTTTCAAAAAAGAGCAGTGGGAATAAGGGCCTCGTGTAGGCCAGGGACACAAGCGCCTATCACTGAAGCTTTGAAGTCTAGTGGGGAAGACCTCCTATGAACAATGGGCATCCAGACCTGTGATGAGTGAATGGTTCTACAGGAGGATGGACATTACTCTGTGGTGACGTGGATGGAAAATTCTCAGGGGTGTCAGGGAAGGCTTCACACAAGAGAGACAGTTGAGCTCATCTTCAGGGGTGAGTTGGAATTCACCTGATGGAGAATGAAGTTTGGCATTTCAGGCAAGAGAAAGAAAAGGTCGTAGGCATATGCATTTGGAGGCACACGACTCCTCTAAGAAACAAGGACGGACACACAAGGGTGAGAGCCACGCAGGGTGGAAAGCCTGGATGAAGGAACAGATGTGCCCAGGGCTGAGTTTGGAAAGCTCTGTGTTCTGGTAGGCTGCTGAGAACCACAGAGCCAACAGAAGTCCAGTACACAGATTTCATTACAGTCACAATAAGCTTTGTTTCATTTTTAATCAGAGGAATAGTTCTAGTTTAGAAAGACTGGAATGGCAGCTGTGTAAAGGATGAAGAATAGAGACGCATGACCAAAGGTAGGGAAGTACCTAAAAGTGACTGCAGTCCTTCAGCTGAGAAACAATGAATGGCCCCACTCGGCAGATTTTGAGAATAGTCAATGAGACAGATTTAAGAAAAATATATCACCAAAATTTGACAGAACATGATTAACATATTAGTCAGGGTTCTCCAGAAACAGTACCAATAGAGGAGGGAGAGGCAGAGGGAAAGGTTGAGGATTATAGAGACTGAAAAGTCTCACAGTCTTCCATCTGCAATCTGGAGACTCAGGAGACCAGTGGTAGCCCTGTGAACCAGAATAACCAGTGGTACAAGTTCCAGTTCCAGTTCCAAGGCCGGAGAACAGGATCGCTGATAGTGAACTTCTGGCCTGAGGGCAGGGGAAGACCAATGTCCCTACTCGGGCCATCTGACAGAGAAAATGTGTTCTCCTTCCTCCACCACTTTGTTCTTTCTGTTGAGGCCATCAGCTGATTGGGTGATTCCAAGCCACATCGGGAAAGGCAATCTTCGTCATTCGGCCTACCAGTTCAAATGCTTCTATCATCCAGAAACATCCTCACAGATTCATCCAGAAATATGTTTAACTAAATATCTGTTTTGGGCACCCTATGGCCCAATGAGGCTGACACATAAAATTAACATCACATGGCCAGGCGTGGTGACTCGCGCCTGTAATCCCAGCACTTTGGGACGCCGAGGCAGGCAGATCGCCTGAGGTCGGGAGTTAGAGACCAGCCTGGCCAGCATGCTGAAACTCTGTCTCTACTAAAAATACAAAAATTAGCCAGGCATGGTGGCAGGTGCCTGTAATCCCAGCTACTCAGGAAGCTGAGGCAGGAGAATCGCTTGAACCTAGGAGAGAGAAGTTGCAGTGAGCTGAGATAGCACCATTGCACTCCAGCCTGGGCAACAAGAGTGAGACTCCACTAAAAAAAAAAAAATTACCATCACACACGGTCTTGTTTCACCCAGTTGTTCATTCCTAAGTCTAAACTTAATCACCACAGAGCTCCTAAATTCCACACGTGTGGTGGAGCCTACATCTGCAGAACAAATGCTTCTGTTGGTTCATTTCTTACTGGGGCTGGACATAGCTGGTATAAGACTCTTGGCATCAAAAGCTGCATATATTTGAGATAGCTACTAAGTTAGCTCAAAATTCTCATCTGTAGCCCAAGGTTTAGAATTGTTAGAGCCAGGAACTTTGGAGTTTATGGGGAATTGCTTCTTGACAGCAAAATATTTAATATCTTAAAGCACAGGAGGAGGAGGTGACCAAATCCAGATATGTTCTCTGTGGATTTAACACCAAAGATAATAGGCTTTGCTTCATCTGCAATTTTGGCTTCCTCTTTACAGAATCACAAAGTGCTTTGGCCTCCTGGCCTCCTGTGCTGTCCATGGTTTAGCTGGTTAGGAAGGTGTTGGAAGAGATTAAGGAAAGAAGGGCACAGTAAGATGCATTGAATGCTCAGTATGTGCAGGATGCAACCCTACAGGCTTAATATTACCATCATTCTGAATTTTGAAATGAGGAAACTGAGGGTCAACAGTATTAGGTCATCTGCACATAGGGCATGTGAGCTAGGTGGGGTATGGAAAATTGTGTAGGCCCTGAGTTCGGAGTTTAAAAGAACTGATTATGGAATTAGTGGGTATTTTTTATAATTTTAAAATAATTTTAGATTTTCTAAAAATTTGCAATAATTGTACAAAGGTAATTTGTGCCTTTACCTAAATTCCCTAGTTGTTAGCATTTGCCTAATTTCCTCTGCCTATGCACATAAATTTTTAAATTACTTACTTTAAATAACATACAGTTTTTAAATTGAGTACTTCTTATTGTAAAAATCCATTCTTATAGGAAAAAAAAAGAGAAGAAGAAACAAAAATTAGACCAACTACTACTACCAATTACTTGTATTTCCTCTCAGAGATAGTCTCTATAAAGAGAGTACACACACATACACACACACACACACACACACACAACCCTTGCTCACAAATGGGAATACACATAGACAGTGCTTTGTACTTTTCTTTCATTCCAGCCTCCAACTCCTGGGCTCAAGAAATCCTCTCACCTCAACCTTCCAAGCAGCTAAGACTATAGGCTCGCGCCACTACCCTGACTAATTTGTTTTTTAATTTTTGTAGAGATGGGGTCCTAGTATTTTGCCCAGGCTGGTCTCAGACTCTTGGGCTCAAGTGATCCTCCCACCATGGCCTCCCAAAGTTGATTTTTATGCTTCTAATTTTTATGTCTCATTTTATGTAACAAATATAAAATGTTAAAATTTAAAATATTTGTAAGTTACTTAAAAAATTCAAATATTACCTTGTCCAGCTTTATAAATTTGCCCATCCACACAAAGCTTGCTGGGTCCACACCTGTGCCACAGCAGAGGACCCAGGGCCCTGTCTCACCTTGACAATGTGTGGAATCCTGGCTGGGATGCCCCACGAGAGCTGCCCACACAGGTCATCAAGGGAGTCCTCCCCAAGCAGGAGCCAGCTGAGCAGAGTGGGCAAATCCCAGGCTGGAGCCAGTTCTGAGGGAGGAGATGACCTGCTTCTGGCCTGGCCATTATTCTGGTGCTTGTCATCACATTTCTTGTTCTTTTCATGTCACATTTTTGTAGATGGCTTATTTTCTGGCAAAATGCAGGTGAGCCGATTAGTAGGAACATTGCCTCCTCTATTTGCTGGACCTTTTTACCCCTCCTGGGCTCATAGGTAATTACACCTTCAGGAAACCGGGACTCCAACTGCCGCAGAGATCACCAAAATGTGGTCTTCCTCGCTGCCGTGTTGGGCTAACTCTGCCGCTGGTAGGCATGAGGAATGCAATTGAGGTTTATCTTCAAATTCTTAATATCTTTTGACTTTTAAAAATGTTGTCATTTTTTTTTATCTGAAAACCCAAAATTTATAAGTACACTTCACAAAGTCACCTTTTGTGAGCACAGGACAGGTGGGTGCAAACGCCCCCTCTGTGGCAGCTGCTTCTCCAGGGTCTTCAGCTGCGAGCCTGCTCCCCTTACAGGGTCAGGTGCCCTCCTTCTTTTGGTCAGTTCCAGGCTCCTCTTCAATCTCTCCCTCGGGCCTCTGGGTCCGGGGCCTGGCTCCAGGCGCTGTGTGAGCTCAGCAAGGTGGAGCTCTGATTCCTGCACTGAGACACCTGGGAGCCCCAGCCTCCAGGGCAGCCAGCACAGCCCACCATCTGGGCTGTGAGCAGCCTGGAAACACTGTCAGCTTCTCAATATGACAGCCAGGCCAGGGCCGAATACACTCTTCCCTCAGAGCTGGCCACAACCCTGTGGGCCTTGCCCACAAAACCTAGCCTGCTACCATCTGGCAAAATAACACTTTCCATCTGGAAGTTAAAATAAGTTAGAAACCAAAACCAAAACCAAAACCCCAGGCTGTAGATAAGTCTCCATGGACATTCTCTGGCAGGCCACTCTCCCAGAGCCGAATGTGAGGAAAGGAGCTGGACATTTCCGGACAGCTCCTGCTGCATCTGAACAGCACATCAAGCCCAAGAGGAAAGAACCCCCAATGGGAAGTGTGCCAGGGCCCCTGGTCCCCACAGCCAGGGGCAAGATGGCAGTGCAGAGCTCAGCCCCTGGCTCTCTTGTCAGAAGTTCAGGCCAGCTCAGTGCTTCCCATGTCTCCACTCCTCCTGACACAGCTGTCCTCTCCCTTCCTCAGCCTCTATCCAAACCCAGCACTTCCTCTGACCCTCCACTCAGATTCCACTTTCTTCCCCAAAATGTCGATGTCAACTCTGGCATGAAACAGCCACTCCTGTCCCACTGATGGGGGAACAAGGGCTCATTATCCAGTACTCTCACTGCATGGGCTACATACCAGGCCATGGTCTAAGCCTTTGGAAATTCTGCCCCATTCAGTGCTCATAACTGCCCTGTTCTACCCATTTGCAGATGAGAAAGCAAGGCACAGCAAGGTTGTTGCAATTGTCTATGTCACACAGCTGGAAAGTGGTTAGCCAGGACATGGGCCTGAGCAGTCCAGCCCCATCTGTGTCCTAACCACTGCACTGAGCTACCTCCCTTCCCAGAGTCATTTCAAGGTCTGAGCCCTCTCAGCCTGGGGAACACCAGGAATCTTCCCCCGATCCCTCTGTGTTTAGTTTGCATGACACTGATGCAGAGACAGCCCCGACACTGGGGTTGAAAACCAAAGTTACATTTCAGTTTGGTTGTGATCTCACCTAAAAGTCTCCTGTCTGTAGCCCAGGGCCCTCATGGACCTCGTCTGTCTGAGGCTTCCCTGGCCCCAGCCCCTGCTGTGTGCTCCCCGGCTCTGCTGTATCTCTCACTCTTGTATTAGGGCCTCATGCCAGTTCCTCATGACAGTCCCCCTTGAGATGCCACAACTCTGAGAGGATGGAGCTTGGTGTGGATCTTCTTTACCCCTCTGCCTAGCACAGGCCGGGCATGGAGCACGTGCTTATTTGTAAATGAACAATGATTCAATTAGTTGGTTATGTAAAAATGCCCCATAAGTGAATCACCATCTACATATAGCTACAGTAAGTTTAAGATAGTATTAGTTATCATTGCTAGCTCCGTAGCCAGGGAAAGGAACTCTGTGAACTTCCCAGAATCCTGTTTCACCACTTGGAAATTGAGTGATTGGATATTATTGAGTTTTCTTTCAATGCTAAAATACCACAGTTCTACTGTTCATTTTATTTCTAACAACAGTTTGGTAAGGTGAGAAGGATGGTTTCTTTTCTCTTTATTTCAAGGAAAGAGAGATTCAGAGTAATTAAGCAAGTGTCAGAGGTGACATGACCAGTGTATGGGACACTTGGTGATGGATCATGCACTACGTTGTGATGCTGGGACAATCTAGGTGAGAAGATGAGACATATAAGCACAGAGTACATGGAGAGTTTGGAAACTAAGAACAAGCCATGAGATCTAAGCTGTATGGGAAGGGGTATCCCAGCACCACAGGTGATATAGTGTCTTCAGATGTGACTCAGTACAGTCCCAGTACTGGTGTCCAGAAGGATACTACTGGTGTCACCCCTCTCCCAGCTTTAGACAGCTCAACACACAGAGAGAGACTGTTTGGAAGAAAGTAAGGAAAGAGAACAAGATTCTCTGCCTGTTAATCCAGATACTTCTTGCAGATCTTATCCAAGACCACCAATGTTGATCTGAAGCCAGCACATCACTGGGTCTTACCCACAGCCCATTTTAACCCTACTTGGGTACCTTGTTGCTATTTTCACTCAAGGCCCTAGGAATTAGCAGGTTGCAAAGCCAGCCAGGCTTCTGTCCTTCCCTTCAGGGTGGTGAGTTCTTCCAGGACCCAGGAAGGTCCAGAGATGCCATCCAGGAGACAGGGCCTGGAGTCGGAAACCTTACAAATGTTCTTGGTGGTCCATTCTACTGCAGCTGAGCTGGCACCCAAACCACAAAAAAAGGTCCTTCTCACTCTTCTCTCCTCTTTCCACAGGCAGTGAAGCCTCTCCTCATGGTCACCACCACAGGCACACAGGGAGTACTGCCAGGCCACTGCCAATGTTCACTTAGAACCCAAGGGCCCTTCAGTCAGCTTGTATGAATGCTGCCAGGCCTAGGACTCACCCTTCAGGGCAGTGAGCTCCCTTTGACCCCGGGCAGGCCCACAAATGCCATCCAAGAGCCAAGGCCTGAAATCAGAGACCTGAAGAGCCCATTTGGTGGTCTACCCCAGTGTGGCTGAGCTGGTTACTGAAACCAGCACATTTCAGTCTCACCCAAGGCCCACAGTCTACTACCTGGGTATTGCTGCTGGTTCTTCAGGGCCTGTGGACTCTTTATTCGGCAGGTGATGAATCCTGCCAAGACTGAGCTCTTCCCTTCAAGGCAGCAGGTTTTTTCCTGGCCCAGGATGTGTCTAGATACGTATTCCAGGAAGTAGGGCCTGGTGACTCTGCCCAGTGTCCTATTCTACTGTGGCTGAGCTGGTTTCCAAGATGCAAAACCAAGTCTTCTTTCCTCTTTCCTCTACCCTTGTCAAGCGAAATGAAGGAGTCACTTTTGTTGCTGTGAGCTGATCTGCCTCGGCTTTTACAAGGAGTGGTGCAAGCACTCCCTTACCACCTGGGCTGGTGTCTTTCTATGTCCTGTGTCCCTCTTATCCACCAGTTCTGAGCACAGCGCAGCACTAAGACTTGCCTAGGAATTTCAGTCCTTGTGACCTAGACTTTCTTTTCTTTTCTTTTTTTTTTTTTTTTTGAGACGGAGTCTCACTCTGTCACCCAGGCTGGAGTGCGGTGGCGCGATCTTGGCTCACTGCAAGCTCTGCCTCCCAGGTTCACTCCATTCTCCTGCCTCAGCCTCCTGAGTAGCTGGGAGTACAGGCATCTGCCACCACGCCCGGCTAATTTTTTGTATTTTTAGTAGAGATGGGGTTTCACCGTGTTAGCCAGGATGATCTCAATCTCCTGACCTCTTGATCCACCTGCCTCGGCCTCCCAAAGTGCTAGGATTACAGGCATGAGCCACCACGCCCAGCCGTGACCTAGACTTTCAAGTTTATGTAGTGCCCCAGAGCACTTTAGCCCATGGTGTGAAGCTTGCAGAAACTCAACTTTTAACCACTGGGATGGGAGATACCCCTCTGGCTAGGGCTGGTGTAAATGCTCCCTCTGTGGGTGTTGGCTGAGTTCTGCCCAGTGTTGCTCTCCACTGTGACAGGGCAGCACTGAGTTCCAATGCAAAGTCCCCAATCTCCACTCTCTCTCTCCTCCAACAAACAAATTCTCCTCCTGCCAGAAGATGAGGAAGGGATGGTGTTGGCAATTTAAGACTGTCTTTCCTACCCTCTTCAATGCCTCTTTCAGTCATATGAAGTTAAAAGGATGTACTTTGATTGCTCACCTGATTCTTGGTTCTAATGAAGGATTTTTTTGTTTGTTTTTGTTTGTGTGTATAGATAGTTGTTAAATTTGGTGTCTGGCAGGGAGGACCATTGGTGGAGGCTTCTTTTTGACCCTCTTGCTCTGTCTCCCCTTTTTCCCTTATCCACAATTTATGCATCGGAAAACAATACTACTGAGAACCGCCAATTGCCTAAGGCCACGTGGTGAGAAATAGGCAGAGCCGGCAGCTCTGGTCACATTCTAGACACCCTGCCCATCTCTGAAATACTACCATGCCTCTGTTTGCATTATAAACAGCCTTACCTGCCAACTCTCTGTGTACTTGTCCACTTTCCCATTGGTTTTAGAACTTCCTTTACACAGGAGCTGTCTTGTTCATTTTTGCTTTGTCTAGTATTTTTTCATAGTGCTTGGTTTAGAAGGCTATTCTATGATTTTTTTTTCCCTTTTTACTACATAGATTCTACCCTCACTGAGGATCTCAGTGTATGTGTGAGGAAAACAGGGGCAGCAGACAGGGTGGGGCCTCGTGACACCTTGGGTTGTGTCTCCTGCTCACAGAAGCCTGGTTGCACCACAACAGGCAATTATATCTAAACACGCGCCTCATTTGTCTCCTGCCCTCTCCACCCACCACAACAGGCAATTATATCTAAACACGCACCTCATTTGTCTCCTGCCCTCTCCACCTCTGCTGGTTGCACCACAACAGGCAGTTGTATCTAAACATGCGCCTCATGTGTCTCCTGCCCTCTACACCCACCACAACAGGCAGTTGTATCTAAACACATGCCTCATGTGTCTCCTGCCCTCTCCACCCACCACAACAGGCAGTTGTATCTAAACACGTCCCTCATTTGCCTCCTGCCCTCTCCACCACTGCTGATTCCCTTTGACAATTACACCTGCCACCTGATCACTTCCTCATTACTGGGCTCCACCTTTCTTCCCCCTTATTATGCTCTTTCCAGACAAAGACCTTGATAAAAGTAAAAACATTTTCTTTGTCCACAGAGCCAAGAATGTCAAGTTTCCCTAATCAGCAATCACACAACATTGTAAAATGCTCTGAGACAGAGACATAAAAATAAGTGTATCTATATGTGTGACATGTAAATGCTCTCAGCCAATCTTACATGCACTTGCACTTGGTAACTTGTCAATTATTTCAAACATCAACACAAAATGTTTTCCACAAAAAGCACCCACAAGATAGGCCCCACTGACGAAGGAGTTCCCATGGTGGGGCAGGCTTGCAAAAACCACCTGAAGAGGACAAGTGGTGTGCATTGCAGGGGATCCCACCCTACTACACTTTCAGCCTGGAGAATGTCTTAGGATCAGGCAGGACCTTGGGAAGTCAAAACACTAATTTCAGATTGCTTCTTAAAATGGAGTCTGGGAAATCCAGGGACACCCAGACTTTGGCTGCTGTCACTCATTTTTTTCTTTTGTGCTATAGCCCCAGGAAGCTACAAGATCCCTAAGACTGGGGAATTCTGATAGTCTTTAACTTTTGTTTAGCCCTTTCTAGACACTATGGTGTGTCTTTCTAGACACTATAGTGACTCTATGGTGACACTAGTCACTATGGTGACACTCATTACCTTAATTAAGCCTTCCAAGTTACAGGGTGCAGTTAAATACTTTTCAGAGTTACAGAAATAGGCTTAGAGGAATTTGTGAGAAAGCCAAAGTCAAAGTGAGTCAGTTGAGCGTCAAGAAGCCAAGCTTAGATGTACAAGTTTCAGTGAGCATGTTCTATAGAACCAGTGCTTCACACAACACCCAGTACCTACAACATGTTCAAATGAATGAACGAATAAATGAATGAACAAGGAGGGTCCTGGAAGGGGCAACATGGTCAGCCTGTACTCCCCACTCCATCCACTGACCACAACACACCAAGGACAGTGGTTCAGTGCCTTGTTTACTGACCCTCTCTTTCCTTGGGCCTCAGCTGATTTGCCTTCCTGGGGAAAACTTCCCACATCAAGTGGCTGAGCCTGTGGATGAGGCACAGTTCAGAGGCCTGTGCAGGAAAGCAGCCTCTTGGGGCCTTCCCCAGAGCCACTACCAGCACAGAAGCCTGGACTTTGACCTGCAAGCCCTGTTCTAGCCCCCACTTCTGCCCCAGCTTGGCCTAAGTCCAGGTGCAGAACGTTTTTAAACATTTACCAGGGTTGATTTAGGAGCTATGTGGCACTCTTCATACAGAAAAGTAAGTTGGGTATCAAAGTCACCTGGCCAGCAGGGTGGGGCCAGTGGGCAGAAAACCTTTTTATAACTAAGAGTTTTTCCTGACAAATAAAAAGCATATGTTCATCATGTTAGAAACTTTTTTCCCCTCCTTGATTTTACAACGGACATGGCAGTTAGTGAAAACACTTCAGTTCCCCATGGGACCAGGGCTGGGGTACCTGTCATTTAGAGTGTGATTGTGGGCCAGCTGACTTGGTGCCTACATGCTGGAGCCCTGGACAAGCATCTCTTGTCCCTCATGGGAGCTCCTCCCACCTTAAATCACTGCAGGCTCACACCTCTGCTTATGATCCTTACCTGGGATGTGGCAGAGGGAATCAAGAGCAGCCCAGAGCAGGGAGAGCTGCAGGGCCCCAAGGTACTGGTTCTTGGTTTGGGAGAGGGCAGTCAAAAGAGCTACACCTTCACCTCCAGGATGGCTGCTGGCTTCTGAGTCCTGTCAGGCCTACCAAATGCGGGTGAAGGAAATAGAGCCAGCATTGCTGACATTTTACAATGTGTGTTTCAAGAAACATTTTGGCCCTCCTTATATCTGAGGTGCTTTGAAGAACACTAGCAAGTCCTTGCCCTAATCCCTTATAACCTAGTGGGCAATGAAACTGTCTCAATTTCAAAATGGGATGGTGACCTAGTG
Organism: Homo sapiens; assembly: GCF_000001405.40. Classification (NCBI taxonomy): domain Eukaryota; kingdom Metazoa; phylum Chordata; class Mammalia; order Primates; family Hominidae; genus Homo; species Homo sapiens. Next base: position 14,919,111 of record NC_000018.10, on the reverse strand, counting down.
CATTTTATGCAGCTCTCACAGGATACCTGGAACCGAGTAATTTCTAATAAACACAAGGTTGTTCTCTCACAGTTCTGGAGGCTGGGAAGTCCAAGATCAAAGTATCAGCATCCGGTGAGGGCTTTCTTGCTGTGTCATCACATGGCAGAAGCTGGAATGGCAAGTCAGTGAACTAATTTCTGTGAGCACTTACTTCTGTGAGCTCTTTTCATAACAACATTAACCCACACATGATAGCTCTGTCCTCATGACTTAGCTACCTCATAAAGGCCCCACCTCCCAACACTATCGCACTAGGGGGTTGGGTTTCAAATTAGGAATTTTGAATGGGTCACAAACATTCAGACCTTAGGAAATAAATAATAGGTTGTTTACTTTCAAGCAATCATGAGACCATAGTCTTCACTGCATTGATAAATCTTGGTTCCCAGTTCCTGTATATTTACAGTTTTTTTCTTGATGAGGGGCCTGATGTTGTCCTCCACTGCATTCCCTGGGTGCCTTCATTGTGACTTCCAGTGGCCTCAGGAAGACATACATCCCTAGAGCCTGGATATTGGGATATCTCATGGGGAGGGCCTATTTGGCCTTCTGTGCCTGGAGTCGGGGAGCCTGTCCTAACAGCTTTGAATTCACTCTTATGCCTATTCTTCTGTGGGGCATAAGAAAAGGTTTTCATGTCCTATAAGATATTAATACGCTCCTACATTAATTTTACTGCTATTACTAATATTTCTGGCAGAGTAAAGATTTTAAAATTAAACCAAAATCTAAATAGATGTATTGCTGACATCCCAGTTCCAAGGGGTGCAGCAACCCTTACAAGCTTATGCCTCAGGAGAATACCTGAGCATGTCTCAGGAGAATTATCATATATCTAAGGGCTAGTAGGAGGAAAAACAAAACTGCTGAGTCTTCCAGGCAAGAAATAATAAAGTCTGGGGAAGGGAACTAAAGTAAACCAGCCTTGTCAAGTGATTGCTGTCTCATCTTTATGCCATGCCTGAGTACGGGAGTCCTTCCCCTACCCTTCTCATCCACACCCCGCTTTCTTCTTGCTGGGCTTTCTTACAGGTGCCAGGGATTAGAAGTTTTCTAGTTCTTCAGATAAGACGTGTCTTCAATTCCCACCTCATTCCTTGGAGACTTCCCCAGCAAAATTAGCCAAAGAAGAACATCTGGCTTTCTTTTTACAAGAACACCTTGCTCATCGCCCTGGGGGAGAAGAAGGTGATCATGCAATTGTTCCAAATAAACACCAATAAATCTGAGCCCAGATGGGCCAGGAGTTCCTAAACAGGATCAGCTTTTCTTTTGCTTACAAGTGTACTGGCAGGAGCCTTGGCAGAACTGTGAAGAGCAGGCCCTGAGCACACTCATGCTGTGCCAGGTCTCATCCCTGAGGAACATTAGTTACATGGCCCCACATGTGTACGCCTGCTGTTCAGGGTGTACAGCAGGCCTGGGCCAAAGCACTGAGGGATTCTGATGTGTGAAACTGCTCAAACTTGACTCTGAATAAATCCCTCTCCCTTTTCTCCCCCACCTGATTTACCAACCAGGACAGTCTGGTGACTCCTTGAGGACCTGCCTAAATGGCTGGTGTCCAGGGTGATTGCATGGCCAGACCCCGTGTCTGCAGGCAGGGAAGGGTGAAACCTGGGACTGAGGACACAGAGAAAGAGAAGCGCAGATAGACAGGAAGGGAAAGATGGAAGAGGAAGGTGAGGGTACAGGAAAATGATAACAGAGGGAACACACAGTGGGGAAAAGAGAGAAAGGCAATGAGAAAGGAAAGAGAACAATTAAGAAGTTTCTGTGCATGTTGGGGAAATTGTGGGAAAGCAGGGAGAGAGAAAGACCAAAAACACAAGTATTTCAGTTAGAGAAAAGGGAAAAATAGAAGAAATAGCTGCACAGAAGACGGAGAATGACATGCATAATAGCCTGCAGTAGGCACTGGGGCCGGAGGACGCAGCCAGGGGGAGGGAGTCCAGCTGAAGCCTGAGGACAGAGTGTCAGCTGGCAGAGAGGTGGCTGGCTTCACATGGTCACCTCATATCCTCTGTGTGTCTCTCAGCTCAGAGCAGCCCCCGGCTGAGTTGGTGGCCAGCGTGGAAACAGTTGAATTTCTGGATTTAGAGACTGATGACCGACATTTAAGTAAGTCCTGGTTCTGCCTCTTTCCTGTGGGGACTTTAGCCAAGTCACTGGCTCCTCTGAGCCTGTGTTTCCAACTACCAAGTGGGAATGACAGTGCTCACTTTGCAGGATCATTAAGAACATTAAGGAAATAGGAGCCAGGGTCAAGTAACACCCAGGGTCGGCAATAAAATGCATGTTAGCTATCATTCTTGTTGGCCTTCACATTACATATTGATTAGATCAACTGCGTTTGCATAACTCAGTTTGCAGCAAGCTCAGATAATTAATAGAAAAATTAATTTAGTAAGAAGTTTTGTTCTAGATCACTCTGCTTTTATATCACAACCTCCCCCACCCACCACACACATACACTCTCTCTGTCATTTTCTGCTTCCCAGTGTGCATGGTACAGCTCCTAGTGGGGAATACAGGGTTAGAGAGAAGCCCCTGGCTGTGAATCTGCTCTTCTTCCAGCTGGAGGCATCTCCCTCTCTCCCTCCATTTGAGTGACTTGAGCAATTTACTCCAATGATTCAACAGAACTCAGCCTATTCTGTAAAGTGGTATCCTCCTCAAGGCTCAGTACTTGGTAAGAGACAATGGGACCTCCAGATCCCAGATGCAGATTCACAAAACATAACCTGTGGCCATTCACAGGAGAACTACACACATCTGCCCCCTCCCTGACGGGATTCCTGCCACCCATCCCAGGGCAGATCACACTTCCTGGAGAGGATACCTGCAGCCCAGAACTGTTGGTGGCCTCCTGGGAACCAGTGCTCACCCCCTTTAGGCACTTTACAATCACCATCAGGGTTGGCTGAGGCCCACAGCAGCACCATCAGCCAAGAGCATAACCATTTACTCAGCACATACAGCCATTCTTCTGTATCCATAGGCATTGATTCCAAGAATCTCCAGATACCAAAATCTACAGATGCTTAGATTTCTAATATAAAATGGTGTAGTGTTTGCAGATAACCTTCACACGTTCTTCCAAAAACTTTAAGTCATTTCTAGACTACTTCTAATACCTAATACAACACAAATGCTATGTAAATAGTTGTTATACCATGTTTTTTATTCGAATAATTTTTATTGTTATATTTTATTGCTTTTCTGAATACTTTTGACTTGTGGATGTAGAACCTGTGGATGCAGAGGGCCTACTATATCTACGTATCAGGACATTTTGAAGTATATGTGCTTGAAATCTAACACAAGGAGTATTAAGATAAAAAACAGCATTTATTGTAAGTAATCAATCTGCACAAAAGTTTGGAATACAGTTGAGTCTCAGGAGTGACTTGACCCTTGAGTCTCAAGAGTGACTTGACCCAGTAGCTTGGTTGATGAGGACGATACTCATTTTCTCTGCTCCTTGGAGAATGACCTTCATCTCTCAGACAGCGTCTACATGGCAATGCCTAGGCACTCACCTCATACTAGGCCCTGAGGGGAACAGCAATGGGTCCTCATAAGGCTCATGTTAAAAGATAAGATAACCCCAGAAGGTCTCTACCTGGTCTAGGTTGGGTCAAGGACTTGCTGTGGAAACAAATCAAACAGAATATGCCTATTTTTACTCCAGCTACCTTGTTAGAGTGGTGGAGGAAGAACCATTTTCTAGAAGGAGAAGAGAGGTGCAGTGTCTTTTTCTGGACAGAAAAAACAACCACATTGGTAGGATAGTCTAGTGACCTTCAGACACAAATTACCAAGGCTCCTCTTTCACATCAGGCCCCCTGTCTGCTGCTGTTTGCTCTCTTACTTGCCTCATTCTAATTGAAGAGGCTCAGCTCACTGCCTAATTCCATGTCTACTCAGTGCTAACCTTGATGGAAATAGTGGGGGGAGCATGGAGATCAGCTGACCCCTAGAGACAGGAATGGGATGATCACTGCTGCTATTTACTTCGTAGGCTCATTCTTCTCTACCTGACCATGCTATTTTGGGACCCTTCAAAACTGGATCCTAAGCCTGCTTTTCTTCTCACTCAACATTTTTCCTAGAGTATGTCATACAAGCCTGTGGATCCTATCACCACCATATGTGGATGACACACTAATGTTGTCTCTCGTCCAGACCTCTCTTCTGAGCTTCAGACCCCTATGTCCAATGGCCTCCTTGGTTTATCTTCCTGGATGTTTCAAGAGACCTAAAACACGACAACCCCCCAATAGAGTTTATGATCTTCCTTCTCTCATTCTGAAACTAGTCCACTTTCTGTACTGTTTCCTAACAAATTAAAATAAATGACCTTTCATCTAGTAACAAAAGCTAGAAACTCAACACCCTTACTTCCTCATTTCCCCTCACCCCATAATTCAATTCATTATGAAGTTCTTATTAAACAATCCTTATATTTATGCGTTTCTCTCTGTCTCCACCACAATTCTTGCCCAAACAGCCATCATACCCTTCCAGAATTTCTGAAAGTGCTGTCTATTTGGTCTAACAGACAATCTTTCCATCAGTTATCTTCACTGTCCAGGAGCAAGGGCCCTGTTCCCAGAGCTCTCTGGTCTTTGAAAAAATCTGACCCTCAGCTCAATAAAGCTCAATAACAGTTAAAGCAGGCTACCTAGTCAGTAGCAGGAGCAGTGGATCCCCACACAAATCAAAAGACTCCAATACTCAAAGCCTGTGAGCCTCCCAGAGGTAACTTACTCATAACTCAGGAATCTAAAATCAGCTAGGCCATGGAACAAAGCACCTTTATTTAAATCTGTGTGGCAAGTCTGCTTATAAACATGGAGGAACAGAGAAAGATTATCAATGTTAATAATTGCCATGTGAATTTCCAGACCAATCAACCTGTTTTTATGCTAAAATATCAGCATCATGGACATTCTTAACATCCTTGAAGAGCTGTGACAGCAGGGAAGTTATGAGGATGGTCTCTGGTACTAGGTTTTCTGGCTCAACTCCCGTCTCTGACACAAGCTGCAGTACTTTGGACAAATTACCCCGTTTATACCTCAATTTTCTCACCTATAAAACAGGAACAAAATTAACAGCACATTCCTCATTAAGACTTTTGTAAAGATTAATTAAGGTAATTTATACAAAACACACAGGACAGCATCCAACTCATAGTAAACACTGTATAGATGTTAATTTTTACTTTTACCAACAGGACACTGTGAGAGGGAGAGTAAACCACATGGGAAACACATCCCAGAGGATCTGGGGTCCAAGGGACCTTGGACAAACCCTCACCCCATCACTTACCATCAGAGTGACCCCAGACAGGCCCATGACTTCTTTACAGTCATTGTTAAAAACTATGAAATGTTGATACAAATAGTTCTCAGGGTTTGGGAAGGTGTGTATATGTATATGGCATTTTGTAAGGGCTTGCCACGTAATAAGCCTCTAACTGATGTCAAATATTGCTCTTGAATAGCGCAGATCCTGTCCTGATGAAGATTACATCCTAAAAGAGAGTGTGAATTGTTCATATATAGTATGAAGTTATAATAAATTATCTTAATATATTTGAATACCCAGAAAAATAATTCCCTGAAGTTGCAGCCTGATATTGGAAATTCATAAAATTCCCTCTTCTGTAGATACAATTCTCCCCAAACCAGCCTCCTTCTGGGTAGCTTGTCCATGTTCTCTGGCCCTTAGGTGCACAGATGGCTGGGCAGGACAGGGACTGGCCAGCTGCTGTGAATGGTTGTCAGCATGGCACTTCGGCAGCAATCCTTTATTTAATAGCTAACCCTGGGTAACTAAAAGGCTGTAGGCTGCCAGCACTGAGCTCACTGAAAGCTTCAATTGGTACTTAGTCTAAATAGTGCATTAAAGGGCCACAGATTCCACATGGATGTGCAGGAAATCTGGCCTCTGCCAAAAGAGCCTGCAATGTGGCCAAGAAAATGCACTGATAAAATGGGTCCTTCTCTGCTCATCTCATGCTGGGTCAGTCACAGACAGGAAACCTGTAAGCCCAGAAGCTTGGACCCAGCAATTGCATAATTGCAAACATTTGGATAACAGCTGAAGAAAATAAAAACAAACCAGTACACAAAACTCCCAGCACTCAGCTCAATATTTTGCTTTTCTTTCATGCATCACACAAGCTTGGATTGTAGATTTTTAAGTTTTCACACAACATCCTGAGATCAGACCAGGCAAGTAGAAATCCAAAACAGAACAATGATGAGTAATTTTATGGAATCACTAATAAAAATCTCCCAAGAAGTAGAAACCCAGGGCCAGATGGGCTCACAGCTTAATTATACCAAACACACGAAGAACTAATACCAATCTTTCTGAAATTGTTCTAAAAAATCAAGGAGGAGAGAATTCTTCCTACTTCTTTCTACAAGGCCAGTATCACTCTGATACTTAAACTAGGTAAGGACACAACAAAAGAAGAACACTACATACCAATATCTCTGATGAACACAGACACAACATGCTCAACAAAAACACTAGCATATTGAATCCAAGAGCACATCAAAAAGATAATACACCATGATCAGGTGGGATTTATCTCAGGGATGCAAGGATAGTCCAACATACATGAGTCAATAAATAAGATGCATCACATAAGCAGAATTAAGAACAAAAACTATATGATTATCTCAATAGACACAAAAATACTTCAATAAAATTCAGCATTCTTTCATGATAAAAATCCTCAAAAAAACTAGGCATAGAAGGAATACAGCTCATCATAATAAAGGTCATATACAACAAACCCACAGCCAACATCCTACTTAACAGGCAGTAGTTGAAAGCGTTTCCTCTAAGAACTGAAGCAAAACAAGGATGCCCACTTTGATCACTCTTACTCAACATAGTACTGAATGTCCTTGCCAGAGGAATAAGACAAAATAAATCAAAAGACATTCAAACTAGAAAAGAGGAAGCCAAGTTATTCCTATTCACTGATAATATGATCTATATGTAGAAAACTCTAAAGGACTCCACCAATAAACTCTTAGATTTGATAAATGAATTCTGTAACATTTCATAATACAAAATTAATGTACATAATTCAGTAAAATTTGTATATACCAGTAACAGTCTAGCAGAGGACCGAATTGAGAAGGCAATCCCATTTACAATATCTTTAAACATAAAATACCTAGAAATAAATGTAAGCAAAGAAGTGAAATATCCCTATTAGGAGAATTACAAAACACTGATGAAAGAAATATTGATCACACAAACAAATGGAAAAACTTCCCATGCTCATGGATTGGAAGAATTAATATTGTTAAAGTGACCATACAGCCCAAAGCAACCCAGAAGTACAATTTAATTCCTATTAAATTACTAACATCATTTTTCATAGAATTGGAAAAAACAATCTTGAAGCCATATGAAACCAAAAAAGAGCCTGAATATCCAAAGCAATCATGTGCACAAAGAACAAAGGAGGAGGCATCACATTACCTGACTTCAAATTCTATTCCAAAGCTGCAATAACCAAGACAACATGGTAATGGTATAAAAATAGACCCATAGACCAATGAAACAGAATAGCAAACCCAGAAATAATGCCACATATATACAATCAAATTATCTTTGACAAAGTCAAAAATACATATACACTGGAGAAAAGACACTGTATTCACTCAATTGTTCTGGTAAAATTGGATTGCCCTATGCAGAAGGGAGAGACTGTACCCTTACCTCTCACCATATATAATAATCAACTAAAGATGGACTAAAGACCTAAAGGTAAAACCTGAAAACATAAAACTCTTAGAAGAAAATCTAGGAAAAACTCTTTTGGATGTTGGCCTTGGCAAAAAAAAATGTATGACTAAGTCCTCAAAAGCAAGTGCAACAAAACCAAAAATAGACAAATGAAACTTAATTAAACTAAAAAGCTTCTGCACAGCAAAATAAATAATCGATGGAGTAAACAGACAACCTACAGAATGGAAAAAAATATTTGCAAACTATCAGTCAAAGGGCCAATATCCAGAATCTAAAAGAAACTCAAACAGTTCAATGAGAATAAAAAAACAAACCCACCAAAAAGTGGGAAAGGACATGAACAGACATTTTTCAAAGGAAGACATACAAGTTGCCAAGAAACACGAAAGAATGCTGAACATCACTAATCATTAGAGAAATGCAAATGGAAACCACAATAAGATACCATCTTACACCAATCAGAATGGCTATTACTAAAAAGCCTAAAAACAATAGATGTTGGCTAGGATGCAGGGAAAAGAGAACACTTATACACTGTTGGTGGGAATGTAAATTAGTACAACTTCTATGAAAAAGAGAATGGAGATTTCTCAAATAACTAAAAATAGAACCACAATTTGATTCAGCAATCCCACTATTGGGAATACACTCATAGGGAAATAATTTATTATATCAAAAAAAAACTTGCTCTTGTATGTTTATGGAAGCGCTATTCCCAATAGCAAAAATGTGGAATCAACCTACATGTCCATCAATGGAGGGCTGGATAAAGAAATTTTATATATATATATATATATTTTTACATTGTGTATATATATGTATCACACATATATATTATGTAACACTACTTAGCCATAAAAAAATGAAAAATCATGTCTTTTTAGGAACGTAGATGAAACTGGAGGCCATTATCCTCAGTGAAGTAATTCAGAAGGAGAAAAGTCAAATGCCACATGTTCTCATGTATGAGTGGGAGCTGAACAGTGAGTACACATAGACATACAGATGGAATAATAGACTTCGGAGACTACAAAAGGTGGGAGGGTGGCAGAGGGGTGAGGAACAAAAACAGCCTTTGGGTTACAGTTCAGGTGATGAGTACACTGTAGGCCTAGACTTCACCACTCTGCAATATATGCATGGAAGAATCCTGTACTTAGACTCCCTAAATATATTAAAAATGAAATTTAAAAATTTTATTTAAAAAAGGATTTCCAAATTTTCAAATGTGTATTTTAATGTCAATTAGATATACACTTGACATCATCTGATTTTTTTTTATTGACCAGTGGTTGCCTGCCATAGAACATGGCTCCATGGCAGGGGCGCATCTTCCCCCACACTAGATTTAGAGAAGTTACTGGGTCCAGGTGCTCCTCAGTGCTCTCAGGTACTGCTTGACCTGCTGGAAACCACAAAGTAGATGCTAGTATTGTGTGCTTTGCAGTCTAACAACCCTGAAATACAAATCCTACCCAGCCACCACTTCTAGAAATACAACTTTGAATAATATACATAACTTTGCAAAATTAAGAGAATTCATCTGTAAAATAGTGATTAAAAATAGTGCCTTCCAGTCAGGCGCAGTGACTCATGCCTGTAATCTCAGCACTTTGGGAGGCCAAGCATGTGGATCACCTGAGGCCAGGAGTTTGAGACCAGCCTGGCCAACATGGTGAAACTCCATCTGTACTAAAAATACAAAAAAATAGCTAGAATGGTGGTGCGCGCCTGTAACCCCAGCTATTTGGGAGGCTGAGGGGGAAGAATCACTTGAATCCGGGAGGCGGAGGTTGTAGTGAGATGAGATCACACCACTGCACTCCAGCCTGAGCCACAGAGCAAGACACTGTCTAACAACAACAACAAATAGCGCCTTCCTTATTAGATCGTGGTGAGGATTAAACAATATTGACTGTTCAGCAGTGTCAGGTATGCTGCAAGTGTCCGACAAACATCACCCTCATTGTCACTGCCTTCCCCACACTGGGACTCTTCCCTCCACCTAGGACACTGGGGAGCACAGGAACTTCAAACAGGGACACCCTTAACAAGCACAGAGTTCAGCCCTGTCAATTTACAGACATGGTGACAGAAGCCCAGAAAAGGTTGGCTCAGATGTCCTGTGTCCCAGACAAAACCCCTCCACTGCCTCCTATGCAGCCCCTCCTGATGGCTTTGGCAGAAAGAAGACAGGTGCAGACTTTGTCAGTCAAGTCCCATCAGACGACAAAGGCTGGCTCTGCACTCAGAGACAGCACATCCTCCGACAGCTTCCCTGTCTCCTTCCAGAGAGACCCAGCCCTTCTTGGCCATTGTCCATCTATGGTGGCAGGACTAGTGGCAGTGAGTCCTGACAACAGGATAGATAGCTTTTCCCCAGGATCAAGGACGTCATTGAAATGCAATATTCCTGTGGATATTTGCAAGCCAGCTCCACATCCTCCCATACCACAGGGGAGGGCCCTCAGGAGCCCTGGAAGCTGCTGTGTCCCGAGGCCTGGAATCCAGCAATTCTCTCCCAGCATTGGCCCCTCCAGCACTCTCATTCACTCAGTCACTCAGCCAGGCAGCATCAGAACACCTGCTCTGAGCTGGGCTCCACACGGGAGCTAAAGACACAGACACTAAAAGGACACAGACCCTGCCCTCAAAGACCTCACAGATTAGAAAGTAAAGCACACGAACACATGGATGATGGTGAGGTCAGAGCGAGAGGGTTAGGGGAGGGGGCTGGCAGGCACAGTGAGGCGCAGAGTGGCTGCAGATCACATCTCCTCGGATGCTGAGGGAGTTTCATGAGACAGTGACCTCCAAGAATTAGGAGATGTTCTACAGGCAGCCAAAGGTCAAAGAGGTGAAGGAAGCCAAATATGTTGAGTTGGCTGATGAGAGGGCCTGCAGACAGAAAGAGTCCCGCACAGCTGTCATTTGTGGAGGGGAGTTGCATCTGTAGAGGAGTTAAAGTGAAGTAAACAGCGGAGGCATTCAGGCTTTCCCTGAGGCACTTGCAGGGATCCTAGGAAAGATGAACTGTGAGTCTGACACCTTTAATGGTCTTAAAGATCCATTTACTATTTTCTCTGAGGATTGCCTACCTGTGAGGCTTCATACAACCAAAACACCTCTGCTAGCCATGCCTCCTCTTTGCTTATTCCCATTAACCTGTCTTGCCAACATACCTGTTTTCGGTCATGCTGCAAACCCCCAATTATTTCTGTATGCTCAAAATGGTATAAAAGCATCAACCATCTGTCCATTTTATATGACTCCTGCGCACGTATATGCATATGATAAAATTTGTCTGCCTTTTTTTTCTGTTAATGTATCTCAAATTATGAAACCTTCTGGGGAAAATTCAAACTTTTCTACAAAGGAGTCTAGGCAGAGATACCCATGTGCAGAGTGTAGAGAGATGAAATGATGGCTCTGGGAGAGCCTGGAGTTTGGCAGAGTGTCAGTTTGGAAAAAAGAAAGGGGTTCAGTAACTGTGAGGTAGGGGGAAGCCAGATCTGGAAGGGTACCCAGATGAGAATCCTGCCAGGACGCTTGGGAGGCCAGTGGACAGGACGCAGTGTCTTCTCTGTCCAAACAGCTACATCCGGGACATGCTGATCCATCAATCAGACAGCCTCGGCCTCCCAAGACCCACATAAGGGCTGTGCTAATTTCAGTGCATCTTTGTCAAAGTCTGACCCAGAGGAGGCCGTGTCCATGCCTCAGCACAGACGCCAGCCCATCTTCTGCTCAGGACCTCTGTTAAGCCGCTCCTACGCCCTCTCCCTGGGATGCTCAGTGTCTCCAGGCCCGGGTGGGACATCACTGCCCAGGGCCTGACACCAGCACCACCAAACACAATCTCAGACCCACTTTCTTATTCCACAGGCACAACAAACCAGCAATGAAAGAAATTAGACCTATTCAGTGTTAATACAATGACCCTATCATTTGATGTCTTTTTTTTTTCAGTAAAATTGAGTTTGGAATATAAACCAAAAATAAAATTCTAAGGTTCCCTAGTTATCTGAATAGAATTCCTCCTAGGCCAGGGCACTCTTAAAATTTAACATGAGAAACTGGTTCAGGCCATGACAGGGAGTGGGGGTCGGACCTGCCTCATTATACTCTCCAGCATTAACATCAACACAGACCATAAGTCTGATAAGAAACACTTACAATCTATTCTCTCTAAAGCCTACTGCCTGAAGCCTTCATCTTCATAATAAGAACTTTGACCTCCATAATTCCTTATCTTAACTGAGACATTTCCTTTCTATTGATCGCAGGTCTTTATATGAACTTAACCAATAGCCAGTCAGAAAATTTTTGAATCTACCTATAACCTGGACCCCCACCGCCACCCAACCCCCCACCCTCCTCACACTTCACCTTCCTTGACCAAACCAATGTACTTCTTAAATGTGTGTGATTGAAGTCTCATGTCTCCCTAAAATGTATAAAACCAAGCCACACCCCAACCACCTTGAGCACACGTTCTCAAGATCTCCTGAGGGCTGTGTCATGGGCCATGGTCACTCCTATATGGTTCAGAATGAATCTCTTCAAATATTTTAGAATTTGGTTCTTTTCATCAATGGGACTAAACAGAATTGACAGCTGAGGTTTGGCAATGGAGCTGGAGAAGTGTGTGTGCAAAAAAAAGAGAAAGTGGTACAAATTGTATAATATGAAAGACTTTTCTTTATATGCACAAAAGATAAAACCATACATTTAGTTCAATGTGTAATCATTTGTGCAGTCCAGAGATTTAATATTGAGGCTGAAAATGAGCATATCAATCCCAGGCCTTGCTGTGTACTTTTCATAATTTATTTAATAAAATAATATTTTTAAAATCACTCATATTATATTCATCTATAACAAACATAATGAGATTGGTAGAGAGTCATTCAAGAAACATGGGAGATAGATTTTTATTATAAGATTTTGATGCCATTTTACAACAAAAGAGAGAGGACAGAGAACACAAGAGAAAGTGACAGGAGAACACAGGAAATCAGGACATAGAGTGGAAGGGAGAGGCAGAGACTGGCAGGCATTTGAAAAGCAGAGACAGATTCCAGGAAGAGGCAGGAAGAGGTTAGGTCCTTCCAGATCAGGACCATGCCAGGCATACCATCTGTTCTTTATGCCACTTTAAACAATGTGTGGCATATACTTTGGGCTAAAAGTATTTGCTGACTTGAATTGAGTCTGAGGTGTAAACCAAAAAAAAAAAATCTCTAAGCCCTCTAACAGACCGAATGAATGGAACCACCTTCAGGGCCAAGCAAATCATAAAGAAACCCAAAAAACTGAATTCCAGGCCATGAAAGGAAGACAGGTCAGACATGCCTCATTATACCCCTTCTTTTTTTGGAGTTTAGGCAAAACTTACCAGCATTAACATTAAAATAGACATCCCTTCATGGATGAAACAGACCCTTTGGCACTAAGATGCCAAATTCCAGCTTGACTCTGGTATAGCATCACATGACAGCAGACCCTGAAAGAAATTAACACACTTTACTTCAAAATATATTTATCTGACATATGTTGAAATGGCCCTGCAAAGCCTTTTGTGGGGTAAAATTTTGCATCTTTAGAATCTCTTTCCCTTTCTAGGTCTTTGCCAGGTCTAGAGGAGATTTAACTGAGTTGGACTCTATTTAAAATCTGAAAAGAGACATTGACCATCTATTCTCTCTGAAGAATACTACCTAGAGGCTTCATCTACATAACAAGAACCTTGGCTTCCATAACCTTCCTTTTCTTAACTCAAGCATTTCTTTCTACTGTCTTTAGACAAAGCTAAATTCTTTCAACCAAGTGCTGATCAGAAAATCCTTGAATTCACCTATTACCTGTAAGTCCCCACTTTGAAATATTCCACAACTTTGGGCCAACCAATGTATACCTTACATGTGTTACTGGAAAGAGGTCAGGATCCAGACCCCAAGGGAGGACTCTTGGACTTGTGCAAGAAAGAATTCAGGGTGAGTCCATACAGTAAAGTGAAGGTAAAGGAATAGAGAATAGCTACATCATAGGCAGGGCAGCTTCAAGGGCTGCTGTTTGCCCATTTTTGTGGTTATTTCTGGATGATATACTAAACAAGGGGTGGATTATTCATGACTCCCATTTTAGACCATATAGGGTAACTTCCTGATATTGCCATGGCATTTGTAAACTGTCCTGGTGCTAGTGGGAGTGTAGCAGTGAAGAAGACCAGAAATCACTCTCGTTGCCATCTTGGTTTTCGGGGGTCTTGACCAGCTTCTCTACTGCAACCTGTGTTATCAGCAAGGTCTGCATGACCTGCATCTCATGCCAACCTCCTATCTCATCTTGTGAGTTTAAGAATGCCTAACCTCCTGGGAATGCAGCCCAGTAGGTCTCACCCTTATTTTACCATGCCCCTATTCAAGATGGAGTCTCTCTGATTCAAAAGCCTCTGACACATGTATTGATTTATGTCTTTGCCTGTAACTTTTGTCTCCATAAAAAGTATAAACCAAGCTGTAATCCAACCACCTCACTTTCTCCAGACCTTCTAAAACTGTTCCCTTGACCATGGTCACTCATATTGGTTAAGAATAAATCTCTAAATATTTTACAGAGTTTGGCTTTTTCATCAACAGAGGAATCAGATGAGATGGGGGGGATTAAGCTGTAAATGGATATATAGACATGAGGGAGAATGAGGAAATCAAAGTAGAGGACAGCAAATGGGGAGTTGAGGAATAGAAAAAGATCAATGGAGTGAGAGAGGAGAGGGAGAATGAGGAAGAGAGGGAAAGAAGAGAGGAGAAAAGAAGTTCAGATCCTGTGTGCCTGGTAAAGTGACTCACAAAATAGAACAGTCCCCCAAAACTGAGGTTAGCTCAGGCCCCAAGGAGTACTCAGAGCCTGGCTGTGGGAACATGTTTACTATTAGGTTAGACCAGGAGCCAGGCTCATTCCCATCAAGCCTCAGAATAACCTGAAATAAATGTTTCTCTAGCTTAGACACACGGCCAGGACAGGACCTCTGCCTTTTATAGCTCTGTAATATCCAGCTGGGATAATTATGCATAGAAACTGTTTTCCAGAAACTTTAGGCCAGATCATGGGAAGAGAACTGATCACCGATAAACACAGTAGGTCAATGCCCCATGGCCCATGTGATGAGGTCTGCCCTGCTGTGGGTGGATGAAACCATGTTGGGGCTCAGGATTATACAGGTGTTAATAACAATGGAGCTCTGGGGTTGGAACCACAGTGAAGACAGATGACAATTGGACAGCCCTTCTTTATAATCTAATGATTGGGGGCCAGGGACAAGTATATATCAAATGTAGTGGTGAGCTAAATAATAGCTTACACAGGTATCTGGTCCTAATCTCTGGAATGTGTAGTTGTTCCTCGATGTAGAAAAAGGGTCTTTGGGAATGTGCTTAAGGATTCTGTGGTGGAGCAATAGCTCTGATTTTCCAGGTGTACCTTAAATGGAATCACAAGTGCTACTATAGGAGAGAGACAGAGGGTGGCTTAACCGGCAGAAGATGTGAAACTGAAGGAGTGCAGAGAACTTTACCCCAAAATAGTGGTCCCTGATGTAACGTGCATTTTGAATTAAAGACCTTCAGAGATCAACAGAGGCTGGAGGAGAACGTTCTCTGTCTACATAGAGACCAGAGGGAGTATCCAAGGAGAACAATTGTCTTTCCTTCCTCTCCCTGTTAGCTCATTATCTATTACAGAAAACAGGAACAAGAGTGTAACCATGCCAGCACAGACTTTCACAAGACAATATCTATCTCTCAGTCTCAGTCAATTTTCAAAGAGCATGATTTACAAGTGAATTCCTGTTCCCTGATCTATTTATTCTCTTCAGTAATCATTTATCATCCTGTAATTACCTACATTCCCATCTCCTCTTCCCCTCTGAAATAGGGCTATACAAGTATCTGGGCCCCATTGGAATATGGGACAATCACTCTGTGGCTCTCCCCCAGGCACCTATTAATAAATGTTCACGCCTTTCCTCCAATTAATCTGCCTTTTGTCAGTTTATTTACTAGCAAGCCTTCAGAGGGTGAAGGGGAAGTGTTGCCTTGGCCCCTGCATGACTACAGAGACAGAGATTGCAGTGAGGCCACTGCAGCCAAGGAGTGCTGGCAGCCACCTGAAGTCAGGAGAGCCAAGGGCTGGTGCTCCCCAAGAGCCTCCAGAAGGAGTGCAGCTCTCCCAAAATACCTCGATTTTAGCCCCGTGAAAGTGCTTTGAACTCAGGCCATCTCTACTGTGTGAATTGTTTTAAATCACCAAGTTGGTAGTAATTTGTTACAGCAGCCACAGAAAAAATACAGATGCTCACCAGGTCCAAGTCCTGTAACAAGTGCTTCCCATGGATTCCATAATTGTTGGCATAACTGAGATTGCAGCTTCTAGTATCCCCATTACTTATTTTAAGAAAACATAGGAGAAAAATATGCTGTATTACTTACCCAAGGTACCTAGTAGGGGGCCTAGAGTGGGACAAATCGAGTGTACAAGTGAGTGTGCAAGTGAAATGGCCTCATTGTCTGGGGCGGTACCCTGGGATCATTGTCTCACGGCTGAGGAACTAAAGGATACAGACACATGGAGAGTGAGGTTGAGAGTGGACGTTTAACAGGTGAAAGGAGGAGGACAGCTCCCTGCAGGAGAGTAGGACCAATTTATTTGCAAAATAAAGTTTTAGACTTGTTATACTTGGCCTGATTATTTGACTAAAGTACAGCCAGAATAGTACTTGGCCATGTAAGCACTTTTTAAATTGACTTGACTGAAACTTTTTTTTATAAGGAATTTCAGGTTCAATCTTTAAAAGCCTCTTAAGATTGGAAGCCGGGCCAACAATTCACCCTCAGATTTTGCCTGTAATACTTGTATGAATTGGGTAAATCCCTCTTTTTTGAGGTCCCCCAAATATCCTGAAGTTCCTGGGCTTGTCAGAAAATGGTATTCTTTACTTACTGCAAGCCTATAAACCTTGTAATATGGTTTGGCTTTGTGTCCCCACCTAAATCTTCTTGAATTGTACTCCCGTAATTCCCATATGTTGTGGGGAGGGGGTGGCAGGGACCGGGTTGGAAATAATTTGAATCATGGGAGCGGTTTCCTCCATACTGTTCTCGTGGTAGTGAATAAGTCTCACAAAATCTGATTTTTTCAGGAGTTTTCACTTTTTCATCATCCTCATTTTTCCTTGGTGCCACCATGTAAGAAGTGCCTTTTGCCTCCTGCCATGATTCTGAGGCCTCTCCAGCCATGTGGAACTGTAAGTCCAATTAAACTTTTTCTTCCTAGTTGCAGGTATGTCTTTATCAGCGGCATAAAAATGGACTCATGCACCTTGTAGGAGAACCATGTAGACAACGTATCAGGCCAGTTCTTCCAAAGGTTTAACAGCTTCTTAGTTCCTCAAAGCAATCTGGTCAATCTGAAAATATGACATCTCAATCAAAGCTTTGGTAATGGAAGCTATACTCCTAATTGCCCTATCACAAAGAGAGCAAATTCTTATTGAAGTTATGCTAATAATATATTGACATAAAATACAAATACCCACGAATAGTTTTCAAATTCTGTAGGGATCAGGTAGAAAGAAAGGTAAATGTTCCCATTTTGCTCACAACAATATATTTTACCCAATTGCTGTAAGCTGTAAATAGCTTAAAAGAAAGGAAGAAAAAAAAAAAACTTTGTCTTGACTCTGAAAAGCAAAAAATAAAAAGAATCAGCAATATTTCAAATAAAAAGAAGTTACAAAAATTGTTTTGGTCTTTCATCAGTTCAGTCTCATGTAATTAATTTTGTTCTACTTGATGTTGGGTTAGTAATCTTCATGAACTCATTCATTTGTTTATTAGAGTTTTGTAAGTTTTTACCTAATCCAATGGTATAATCTCCAAAATTATCAAAAACCTACATTCAAGAATACTTGTTATGGTCTTTTTCATGAATTTTCTTGTAAAAGAAGTAAATTTTTGGCTGTAGCCAACTATAAACCACTTTTTGAAATGAATCAAAGTAAAGCGATATTGTCTATGAATGACAAAAGACAGAATAGCCATGGTTAAAGACACAATTGACAAGGAAATTTGATTATTTCTATGGCTAACAAAAACCTGTGAATGCCAAGCAACATCCCCTCCACTCTTTCAGTGGTTATTTAGTTATTCAGCTTAGAATAACTGAAAAAATAGGCTCCTGGAGTTTTATGTACATTTTATGAAGAATGCATTTGAAGTAAAATGAAATTGGGGTGCATTAGTTAAGATTCAGTTTGGCTTAAAAAATTATTTATTTCTCCATGCAATAAACATCTGGAAGAGTGAGAACTCTGCTCCACAAAAACATCTGGAAGTTTCCAGTTCCATTTAGCTCACCGTTCCATAATCTCTTTGTTCTCATAACTCAAGGTAGAATCCAAATTCCAGCAGGAAGGTGGAATAAAGGGATTAAAAGTGAGCACAAAGGGCTTCTGCTGGCTACCTTTTATGGAAGACTTTTGGAAGTTGCCATAGGACATTTCAGTTAAATCACATCAGCTAAAACTTGGTCACATGGCCACATTAAGCTGTAACAAAGACTGGGAAATGGAAAGTTTATTTTGTGCAGTCAGCTAAAAATTCTATTGCCATGGAAAAAGGAGAGAATAAAAGTTGGGAATGATTAAAAGTCTTTGCTCAGTAAGTTGGGGAGAAAAATGCCTACATATGATTGAAGGAATGAACATCATAATGAATGACATTATACCGTCATAAGCTTGAAGACTTAAGGGGCAAAGATATGACAAGAAGAGAATAGAAAGCTTATTATGCCTCATAAGAAAAGGGCCAGAATCAAAACGTGTAACTTCAAATGGGTAGAAAAAAAGCACAGATGCAATGATAAATAGTAGATGGAAAAGTTACATGACATTATAGATGAAGACATTTCCCAAATTTGCCAATGACAAATAAGAGAAAGGAGTATCTAAGTTTTTGGGTACCATAAATTTTAATATACTCATGTATCACTTATTTGTGATTTATTCCATGCCAAATTATAAACAGAATTAAAGTGGCTGAATTAAAACTCACCATTTCTTAAGCAATTGTATGTGGACCACTGAAATGTTTCCAAAGGTACTTGGGGGATTAATTTAACTAAAGGCATACTGTAATCTTTTTTCAACTTAATATTTTTTAAAAAATTGTATTTTTTCAATTTAGAAAAGAATGGTTTGAGTGCCTCCACAAACACATCAAATATGAATGCCTGGAATTTAGAAAGATGAGATAGATTTACTCACAGTTTAGTTAACTCATCCGTTCGTCATTTAATGAAGTCACAATGATGTTCACTATTATGTAAATAAGTTCATTCATTGTCATATGCTGCTAAATTTATAACCTTAACAAACCATTGGTTAACGAGAAAGTATAAAGAACAATGAGTTAAATATAAGTTATTAGAAGCATAAAATAACTCCAAAATTTGCTTTTATTTTTTAAATTGATGTATATTTGACAATTTACAGTTAACTTTTAGATAATTTTCTTCAGGTCACTACAGTCCTAGTGCCAAGAATGGGTCTGGCAATAAACACTCAATAAATACTTGTTAAATAACTTTGTATGTTACAGAAAATATTGTGACAATCATATTGGAGTTGGTCGCATGTTTTGGAGGGGTATAATGACTCTCTACCCCTGCAATGTTTTATTTATGGAGCACTATTTGCAAATAGAAGAATAAAACTATTTCTCTTATTTCAACATTTAGAAACCAAATAAATTGTAAAAATAAGTGAGCTAATTTTTTTAAAGCATAGAAAGAATTTTAATGATTAGATCCCAAAACTAGATTTTGTCATCTTTGATGTTAAAACATTTATATTTCAACATATATTTATTTAACTAACTTTTAATTCTACACATGCTATATGAGGTCATTTTAAAATTTATTTTTTCAAAAATCATGAGGTTTTTAAAAACATAATTAATTTAAAGAAAATGAAGAACATTCATCATTTGTTGAAGGGGAACAGTTGACATTTGCCTTTATATATAAAACATATTTAAACAAACTTTATAATATAACCTTGAAAAATATACTAACCTAAAACAAAATTTATTTTTGATAGGCAAATTTTTTATTATATTCAAACTCTAAAATAATGACAAGATTAAAAATATTTTTAAGGAGATGGTGAGATGATATTACTGTAAAATACGTTTATGGTCTATATCAAGGAAAATAATGAACAATATTCTGTCTTAGGCTATCTATATCAGTCCAGTTCTTGCTGAGATACTTATTTTAAGTAAATAATGTAGCTGGTAAAGAGTCTGGAATTCATACTGTATGAGAAAGGGCCAAAGAAACTAAGGATAATGGGAAGCATGATCAATGTCTTCACCTCTTTCAAGGGCTGTTATGTGGAAATGGTATTGATTTATTCTGCATAGCTTCAGAGGATATATTCACATATAATTGGTAACACAATCAGAGCTACTTGTAAATGTAATGAACCACCTGAAAACTGGTAACCTACAATTAATGAGATTATAGAGCTGACAGACAGGTAAATCAATGGGACAAAAGAGTCAATAAAAGGTAAAAGAGAGGCATCAGTAAAAAAGGAATCGAATGTTTAATAAATAATGTTGAAAAAACTAGATAGCTATTTGAAGGAATAAAATACCAGTTTGCGGCAGGAGTCCCCAACCCCTGGGCTGGGGACTGGTACTGGTCCGTGGCCTGTTAGGAACTAGGCCGCAGAGCAGGAGGTGAGTGGTGGGTAAGCAAGCATTCCACCTCCTGTCAGATTAGCTGTGGCATTAGAATCTCATAGGGGCGTGAACCCTATTGTGAAACTGCGTATGCCAGGGATCTAGGTTTTGCGCTCCTTATGAAAATCTCACTAATGCCTGACGATTTGAAGTGGAACAGTTTCATCCTGAACCTCCCCCCGGCTGCCATCCCCTGACTGCTGGTTTAGAGTATCGTCTCACACCATACCCCAGAATTAATTCCAGATGAATTTAAGATAATTTGAATTTATATTTAAAATTCAAACTATAAAAGTTAGAATAAACTATATTTCAGACAATGGTATGGAAAACATACTTTTAAGCATAGATACAATATAATAAATTATCACAAAAGATCTATAGAATTGGTTACACAAAAACTGATCAGCTTGATTAATTTTTTCACCCTGCACTCCGGTAGTGCACGATTAGTGAAACATGAGAATTAGGAATAGAAGAAGAAGTGTGAAGTGAGCCTAATAGTGCATAAAATAAAGCGTTACTGAAAGAACTCTTGGATTTGGCAATTAGGAGTTTATTCATGAGCTTGAAGAGAGAACGCCAATAAAGAGATTAGAAGTTAGGATGCAAAAGTTAAATTGAAGAAAAATGAGCAGATTCTGGCTGCATGTTCAAGAAAGTTGGTGCTAGTGCAAAGGAACTAGGGTAGTCCTTTGAAAAGATTTCAGAGTTAAGGGCAGGGACATTTTATTCATTTGACCTATAGGCACAGAGATGGGAGCCTGTGAAAATTTCAAAGGCTTGCAAATGTATTTAAACTTTAATATTGATAGTGACAGTAAAATTTGAAAATAAAATATACAGATTAGCAGATATTTAACCAAAAAAATATTATGCTAACTTTATTTATTAAATTTATTAATTTTTTTCATAACATCTAAAATCAATTTGATTTTTTTTACTTTGTAACAATTCCCAAGAATGTACACAATTTGCAGAAAATTTACAGCTAGGGGCGGGCATGGTGGCTCATACCTGTAATCCCAACACTTTGGGAGGCTGAGGCAGGTGAATGACCTGAGGTCAGGAGTTTGAGACCAGCCTGGCCAACATGGCAAAACCGGGTCTCTACTAAAATTACAAAAATTAGGCGCGCGTGGTGGTGCATGCCTGTAATTGCAGCTACAGGGGAGGCTGAGGAACAAGAACTGCTTGAACCTGGGAGGTTCAAGACCCTTGACAATTTGGCCCTGACTCTTTTTCCACCCTCTCACTATTTTGTTACACTTCCTATTCCAGATATACAGCTCTAGTTTCAATCTTCTGAACACGACGTTTGAATCTTTGCTTCCATGGCCTTGCACATAGTACTTTTATCTCTCGATTAGCATGTTTCCATCTTTTCTACCTATGTCAACTCTATTCATCCATCAAGATCTAATTCAAGCTCTATCTATTCCTCACATCCTCCCTTGGCCACTTCTTTCTTCTGAATTCCTATTTATTTTCCTGTTTTTTTTTTTTTTTTGCAATTGGCATATACTGCTAGGTAGCACTCATTTTATTTTTTCTGTGGAAAGAAAAAATACTAACTGAATTTTTGTATATATTTATTAATATCCAGATAGGATATCATAATTAAAGTAATCAGATCAAGTTTCTAAAATATTACTGGCTCTTGTTTTCCATTCCCAAACACTTGAGAGATACTGTCCACTTAACAAGTGAAACAGTGGTCTGCATATCCAGCATTTGTAGCCTACAATCTCCAAAGTGTGTTTTTATTATGACCTTACTCCTCCTTACTGTCCATATTTCACAAAAAGAAGTTATCCATTGGGGAAGAAGATCTTAATCCATTACCAAAGACATTTTTAATAGTAATTAATAACAAATCCCATATGTTCTATATATTTGGGACATAAATAAATAATGTAAAATGTCGGTACAAATAGTTTCTCTACACTCAATGATATTATATTATTAAAGTCAGCTGCATTTAAAAATTAGTAGAATTTGTATTTTAGAACATTTTTAGATTTAAAAAAATAATTGAGCAGATAGGCCGGGCGCGGTGGCTCACCCCTATAATCCCAGCACTTTGGGAGGCCGAGGTGGGCAGATCACAAGGTCAGGAGATCGAGACCATCCTGGCTAACACGGTGAAACCTCGTCTCTACTAAAAATACAAAAAAGTAGCTGGGCGTGGTGGCGGGTGCCTGTAGTCCCAGCTATTCGGGAGGCTGAGGCAGGGAAATGGCACAAACCTGGGAGGCGGAGCTTGCAGTGAACCGAGATCACGCCACTGCACTCCAGCCTGGGCGACAGAGTGAGAGTGCCTCAAAAAAAAAAAAAAATGAGCAGATAATAGAGTCCCATAAACAATCTCCATTTCCCCCCACAGTTCCTCCATTATAAATATCTAGCATTAATGTGGCACATTTATCACAATAGATGAGCCAATATTTATTTATACCATCAGTTTATACTAAGGTCCACGCTTTGCTTTGTATAGTTCTATGAGTTCTGACAAATGTATATCGTGTATCCACTATTACAGTATTAAGCAGAATAGTTTCACTGATTTAAAAATCCCCTGTGATTCAGCTTTTCATCCTTTTTCTCCTCTCCTCAAGGCCCTTGCAACCACTGATCTTACTATCTCTAAAGTTTTGCCTTTGCCAGAATGTCATATGGCTGGAATCATACAGTATGTGGCTTTTTCAGACTGGTTTCTTTCACTTAGCAATATGTACTTAAGGTTCCCCTTGTCTTTTTGTGGCTTCACAGCTCAATACCTTTTTATTGCTAAATAATATTCCAATGTATACGTGTACCATAGTTTGTTTATCCATTTACCTATTGGATATGTTGGTTGCATCTGGTTTTTGATGATACGAATAAAGCTTCTATAAATAGTCATGTTCAGGTTTTTGTGTGGACATAAGTTTTCAATTCAATTGGGCAAATACCTGGGGGCATGACTGCTGGATTATATAGCATATTCAGTTTTTAAGAAACTGCCAAATTGTCTTCCCATGTGACTGCACCATTTTGCATTCCCACTAGTAATGAAAGAGTTTTGGTTGCTTTGCATCCTTGCCAGCGTACAGCACTGTCAGTTTTCTGGAGTTTAGTCATGCTAATAGTTGTATAGAGGTATCTCATTGTTGTTTTAATTTGCGATTCCTTTTTAAATAATTTCAACTTTTATTTTAGATTCAGGGGGTACATGTGCAGGTCTTTACCTGGGTATATTGTGTGATACTGAGGTTTGAGGTATGATTGCTCCCATCACCCAGGTACTGAGCATAGTACCTAATGGTTTTTCAACCCTTCCCTCATCTACTACCCGCCAGTAGTCCCCAGTGTCAGTTGTTGCCATCTTTATGTCCCTAAGTACCCAGTGTTTAGCTCCCACTTATAAGTGAAAACATGCAGTAGTTAGTTTTCTGTTCCTGTGTTAATTTGCTTAGGATAATGGCCTCCGGCTGCATCCATGTTGTAATTCCTTGATGATCTATGATATTGAGCATCTTTTCATCTGCTTATTTGCCCTTTGTGTATCTTTAGTGATGTGTCCAGATTTTGCCCACTTTTTAACTAGGTTTTTTTCTTATTGTTGTGTTTTCAGTGTTTTTTGTATATGTTGGATATATTGATATATTTTTTGCATATATGTATATGTTGGTGTATTTTAGTGACGTAAAATGAATGGAATCTATAGCCTTAAACATAATATAAATATATAATGGTTAAGATTTCCCACTCAACAATCCAGGCTTGACAGAAAATCATAAAATGTATTTAAATTTAAATGTTTTTTTCTTTGTTGATACTAGTTCTTAGTTTTAACATGCCGAAGAGGGTATACTTGATCAAGGACAAGATTAAATGTTCTGATTGGCTAAATATCAAACCACTGCCTCCACTTTTTTTTGCAACTTGAAAATAATATTTAGTTATCATGCTAGCACAGCCATATTAATATATACCCCTTCAAAACTTTAAACATAAAGCTTTAACAGTTTCAGGAAAAAGAAATATTAATGATGCTGAGATTGGTGGGCATGGATTCTGTGTAGTGAGACACTAAAAAGTAATTTTTAAAACAGAAAAGTTAAAGCACTTTAAAATCACAAAGCTATTGGTAATTAAAAAAGAATTAGTATCAATTTCTGAAATACAAGATTAGAGGGACACCTAAAATTCTGAAAGATTTCAGATAATTTTTTAAAAAAGTAATTGCAATTTAGATCAAAGTTCCCCACTTTTCATTCCAAGTGTGATACAGGTTTAAATAATAAACAGAAAAAAAAGTTTAGATAAATTCATGAATTATTGAACCAGACGATAAACAATAGGGAAGCTATTTAGGGCATAGTCTCTAGTGTGTAAGGGTGACATCCTAAATAATAAATTTATGCTATTGTTGACAATATTGCTGGCAAGGCTAAATGGTCAATGTGCTTGACATATTGCCTGGTTTTTCATGTTCTATTGCAAGAGCTGATTCTCTCTCTCTCTTTTATTTATATTTTTGAACTCTACCATTATGCTATCATGGACATTATGTTAACAATTTGATGCATCTATGTAATATGCTTTAAATCTTTGGGAATAAATTTACTGAGTGCTACTTATGTGAACAAACTTCTCTTAAGCACAAATGGAAATCCACAAAGAAAGACAGCCTCTTCTATTTGTTTTATGTGAGGCAACGGATACACTGTAGACAAAAAGACCAAGTATAATTAACTTATATTGTTAACTAACTTAATATCTGCATATTACATATTTTTCTATTATGCTTTCTGAGCAACTTCGTGGCTTCTGATTTGGAGGGTAGGATTTCATAGTTAATACTTTTTTTTTTTTTTGTGAGATGGAGTCTAGCTCTTGTTGTCCAGGCTGGAGTGCAATGGTGAAATCTCGGCTCACTGCAACCTCCGCATCCCAGGTTCAAATGATTCTCCTGACTCAGCCTCCCGAGTAACTGGGATTACAGACAGCCACCATCATGCCTGGCTAATTTTTGTATTTTTAGTAGAGATGGGGTTTCACCATATTTGCCAGGCTGGTCTTGAACTCCTGACCTCAGGTGATCCGCCTGCGTTGGCCTCCCAAAGTGCTGGGATTACAGGCGTGAGCCACTGCGCCCAGCCCATAGTTAACACTTCTATAAATATTTGTGCCTATTGAAAGGAACATCACTCCCCACACTGCAACTGAACAAAAGAGTGATAATGTTAATTGCTTTATTCTTGAGCTTTTCTTGAATAAAAGAGGGTCGTAGGATATGGAACAAAATAGACTAGAAAATAGGGTTGATAAGGTACTGATTCTGCCAATACTGCTTAATGCTCTCCCCAAGCAATTGTCTTTTAGATATGTTATTTCCCAGTGTGAATGGTGTTTTTTAAATATGTCAAGCAATTAAGAATATAAGTATATTCTCATCTCAGCTAAACGTAGAATCTTTACAAAGAATTTTTGGTATCCTTAACCCTAATATGTGGAGGGATAAGATTAAAAATGTTCACCACCTTATTTTTATTTATTTATTTATCTATTATTTTGAGACAGAGCCTCACTCCACCCTGACTGGAGTGCTGTGGTGTGACCTTGGCTCATTGCAACCTCTGCCTCCCAAGTTCAAGTGATTCTCCTGCCTCAGCCTCTCAAGTAGCTAGAATTATAGGAATTCACCACCATGCCCAACTAATTTTTTTTTTTTTTTTTTTTTTTTTTGGTGAAACAGAGTCTCACTCTGTTGCCTAGGCTAGAGGGCAGTGGCACCGTTTTGGCTCACTGCAGCCTCCACCTTCTGGGTTCAAGCAAGTCTCCTGCCTCAGCCTCCTGAGTATCTGGGATTACAGGCACCCACCACCACACCCGGATAATTTTTTGTATTTTTAGTAGAAACGGGGTTTCGCCATGTTGGCCAGGTTAGTATTGAACTCCTGACCTCAAGTGATCTGCCTGACTCAGCCTCCCAAAGTGCTGGGATTACAGGTGTGAGCTACCACATCCAGCCATCACCTCTTGTAAAGTGCAGTAAAGAAATAGTGGGCAATAGACAGGCAGGGGATAGAGGAAAATGTTTTGGGAGTGGGACAATATGAACTTATTGTCATGACAGGACCAAAAAGGGAAGATGTCTGCCTATCATAATTAATAATAACTCTATCAGTCAACATTTATGTTTTACAATTGTTCTGTAAAAGAAAAGCCAGCAAATATTACAGATTCCAGTCCCTAATAACTGATCATGAAAGACACTCTAAGCTTGTGCATCAGCATTCTCTTTTTATCTAAAAGAAAATATATTAAATAAAGGGAGGAATGGCAGGAGTAAAGAGACTTGAAGGAAAAGAAAATATTGACTTCTTAATGATATTTTACAATGCTAAGACCTTTAGAAACCAACTACTCCATTTGTCTTTTAAATATTAGTTTGGTGCAAAGGTAATTACAGTTTTTGTCATAAAAGTAATGGCAAAAGCCACAATTACTTTTGCACCAACCTAACTGATACATTTATTCCATTTTGGAGGTATTGCAAATATGCTGAATCAATGAATTTATTCAGTATTTTTCATTGTATTAGTACAAATTTAACCTAATAGTATTCTTCTGCATGTTATTTCCCTTTGTGCTTCCTTTAATGCAATGAAGCTGTAGTTACCAAATAGAGTGCTCTAAAAGGGCAAGGCTTGTCTGTGAATTGAGCCTAGCATAGAATTGGCTCTCAGTGAAGATCTGTTGAACATTACATGAATGCATCAACATCATAATCCTTCATGTGCTTGTAAGCAATTATTAAAATTTTCTCTAGCCTATTCAGGCCTGTGTTCTTCAAAATTCTCCAAAATATATGGACGTGTTTGCTGTTTCTATTAGGTTTTAACTTCTGGTGTCAGAAACCAGGGCTGTTTTTCTTAATTTGTGTCCTAAAACCACAGTAGGGTTGTATGCATTGTGATAATGCTTAATAAATATATAAAAAGATTAATATCCATTCATTTACATTTTCTTAAACCCAATTTCTGGATGAGTAGCTGTGAAACTCTCAACTGGATGAGCTCTGACTAGTGTTAAGTATAGTATATTGGGAACAGGGCTTTATATGCAACATATATGTGAGGCAAATGAGAAATATTAGCTGGGCTACATTAAATCCCAATGACATGAATAGAAATTTTATTATCCAGGTAGCAAAAATGAAGTCAAAAAAATAAATAAGAGAATGAAGTGAAGGTATGGGGCAAAACAATTAGTTTTTTCTTTAAGTCAATATTTTAGAAAATAGCTTCTGAAGGCCCAATCACACAGATAATTGACACTTCGACTTTTCTTTGCACTGTGTTAGACATAGGTAAAAGAATGTCTCAGCACTATACCTTCATGTAGAAAATGTAATTAATAGCAAATTGCATAAAAGTACGCTAAAATTTTAATTCTTACATCATTTTAATAAATTTCTTGAGATTTTACTTTATTTAGTGTGTCATTAAAATACAGGATTTAAGGAAGATATATGTAATAAAGGAAAATAGTAAGTTACCATTCTTATGCAAACATGTTTTGTAAATACTATTTCAACAAAGATTTAAAAGTTAATTACAAAGGTATAAAGTTATGAAGTATTATATAAACCGGATTCATAATTTTGTTTTAAATGGTCTTTTCATGTATCAAAATACTATCAGTTTAAAACAATCTCTTTTTTTAAGGTAGTAGGCTCTGTTTACCATCATTTACAATTGCTTTAATTAGAATTTTCTTCACTTTCAGTACATTCAAGAGCTATTCTGTTAGCCATAATTTTTAAGATAAAGTTTATCCAAATAGAAAAGTAATTATATAATGATTAAGAGCCAGAATGTCTGGGTTCAAATTCCAGTTCTGCTACTTCTCAGGTATAAGAATTTGGGCAAATTTCTTAGTTTCTCTGTGCTTCAGTTTCCTGATCTGTAAAACTGGGATAACAAGACTACCTGCCTCAATCTGTGGTTATGAGTAAATGAGTTAATACATAAGAGCAATGCAATAATCCTTGGCATGTGGTATGAGTTCAATAAACATTAGCTATTATTATTATAGTAAATTAGAAATTTAATTCTAGAGAATAAAAAGCTGAACTCAAATATGTAACTATTTATTTGATACAGACATATTTTCTACAAAATAAAAAACCGTCAGTTTGCACTTCCCTTATATAATGACTATTCTGGTGTTTGTGTGTATGTGTTGTGGGTCGGAGTCTTGGGCTGTGTAAATAATCACATTAAAAATTTTAAAAACTTCCGATTAAAACAGAAATAAGAACAAATGGCCATTCATGGATCATTGGCAAAGCTGAACGAATACCTGACATGTCTTTCTGTGATTCCTTGAATATATCATGGAAATCAGGACAGTGGCAGTTGGGATTGTGGCAATCAAAGGGGTGGAAAGTGAATTCTATCTTGCAATGAATGAGGAAGGAAAACTCTACGCAAAGGTATTGATAATTGATCGCTTAGGCTTAATTTTTAAAACTCATTTTTGTCGAAATATCTCACCATTCTGAAAAGGAAAAATGGACTTAATTTATCTCCAACTGTGTAATATAATGATTTTATTAAAACACTTTATACTCAAACGTTAAGAAAAAATGTTTTCTGTGTGACTTTGGACAAATGGCTTGTTCTTTGGATTTTGGTTTCTTCATCTGTAAAATGAGTTGAATCAGCTGACCTCTAAGGATCCTTCCAGCTCTAAAATTCCATGTGCATTTTAGATATTTAAAATCCAAAATTTCCATTTGCCAGTATTAAAGCTCTTTTTGTTAAAGTTCACCCAATTTGCACATTGCTGACATGAAAATTCTTGGGAAAAAATCTTGAAATGTTTAGTTCATTCATCAACATCAATCTCACAATCATGGGCTTTGAACTGTAATTATTCACATTGTTCCCACTTCACTACAATGCAAAATATGTAACAGTTCATCCCACTGTAATAAAATATAATTGGCTTTCCCTTTGTATTCCCAGAGCTCAGTATAATGCCTGGAACAGGCTAATTATATAATGATACAGGTTTAATTGAATGAACAAATGGTTGCATGGATGAACAAACAAATTAACCTTGTATCTTCCATTACCATTGAAGACAATGTAGAAGTAAATAAAGAAAAGTTATGAAACAAGTCTCTCACCTGAGGGAGGCAGATGTTCTGCTAGTTATACCAAATTTCCAGTGGTTAAAGAATGAGTGATATGGGAATAGTAATATGAGGCCTGTTACTTAGGGGGAAATAGGTCCTAATTTTAAAGAATAGTTGACATGAACTTCCAAAAAGCTACACATATTTCATAACTAGCTGTGTATTATGTGGTGTTTTTATTTCAAATTTAAGATACCTTTTTATGCAAATATACTACATAAGTATAGCTAACAATCCACATTAGGCCTGCTCAATCTGAGGGTTAAAAAAAGTTGTGTATGTTTCAATTCTAACAAATATTACCTGCTTACTCTTCGTTTAATTGAGCCTCTCTAAAAATCATTTGGAACATGTTTGTTTGTTTGTTTGTTTGTTTTAACAGAAAGAATGCAATGAAGATTGTAACTTCAAAGGACTAATTCTGGAAAACCATTACAACACATATGCCTCAGCTAAATGGACACACAATGGAGGGGAAATGTTTGTTGCCTTAAATCAAAAGGGGATTCCTCTAAGAGGAAAAAAAATGAAGAAAGAACAAAAACAGCCCACGTTCTTCCTATGGCAATAACTTAATTGTATATGGTATATAAAGAACCAGTTCCAGCAGGGAGATTTCTTTAAGTGGACTGTTTTCTTCTCAAAATTTTCTTTCCTTTTATTTTTTAGTAATCAAGAAAGGCTGGAAAACTACTGAAAAACTGATCAAGCTGGACTTGTGCATTTATGTTTGTTTTAAGACACTGCATTAAAGAAAGATTTGAAAAGTATACACAAAAATCAGATTTAGTAACTAAAGGTTGTACAAAATTGTAAAACTGGTTGTACAATCATGATGTTAGTAATAGTGATTTTTTTAAATTAATTTACCCTTAAGAGTATGTTACATTTGATTACCTGATAATGATTATTTAAACATTCCTATCTGCTTATAAAATGGCTGCTATAATAATAATAATGCAGATGATGTTACATAAGGTATATCAGACCTACAGGCTGCTGGCAGGATTTGTCAGATAATCAAGCCACACTAACTTTGGAAAATGAGCAGCATTTTAAATGCTTTCTAGTGAAAAATTATAATCTACTTAAACTCTAATCAGAAAAAAAGAATATTCTCAAAAAAATCTATTATGAAAGTCAATAAAATAGATAATTTAACAAAAGTACAGGATTAGAACATGCTTATACCTATTAACAAGAACAAAATTTCTAATGCTGCTCAAGTGGAAAAGGTATTGCTAAAAGGATGTTTCCAAAAATCTTGTATATAAGATAGCAACAGTGATTGATGATAATACTGTACTTCATCTTACTTGCCACAAAATAACATTTTATAATTCCTCAAAGTAAAATTGAGAAATCTTTAAGTTTTTTTCAAGTAACATAATCTATCTTTGTATAATTCATATTTGGGAATATGGCCTTTAATAATGTTCTTCCCACAAATAATCATGCTTTTTTCCTACGGTTACAGCATTAAACTCTATTTTAAGTTGTTTTTGAATTTTATTGTTTTGTTATTTAAGTTTATTTTATTTATTAAAAAACTTTAATAAGCTGTATCTGTTTCATATGCTTTTAATTTTAAAGGAATAACAAAACTGTCTGGCTCAACTGCAAGTTTCCTTCCCCTTTGTGACTGACACTAAGTCTAGCACACAGCACTTGGGCCAGCAAATCCTGGAAGGCAGACAAAAATGAGAGCCTGAAGCAATGCTTACAATAGATGTCTCACACAGAACAATACAAATATGTAAAAAATCTTTCACCACATATTCTTGCCAATTAATTGGATCAGATAAATAAAATCATTACAAATATAAATATTTACAGGATTTTAAAGTTAGAATATATTTGAATGCATGGGTAGAAAAGTATCATATTTTAGAACTATGTATATTTAAATTTAGTAATTTTCTAATCTTTAGAAATCTCTCCTGTTCAAAAGGTGGCAACACTGAAAGTTGTTTTCCTGTTAGATGCAAGAGCACAATGCCCAACATAGAAGATACAGTTAGGAATAAGGGGCCCTGAATGTCATGAAGGCTTGAGGTCAGCCTACAGATAACAGGATTATTACAAAGATGAATTTCCACTTCCAAAGTCTTTCATAGGCAGATCTTGGTAGCACTTTATATGTTCACCAATGGGAGGTCAACATTTATCTAATTTAAAAGGTTTGCTAACCATTGTGGTTTTAATTTCAAAATATTTGTCATTCAAGTCCCTTTACATAAATAGTATTTGGTAATACATTTATAGATGAGAGTTATATGAAAAGGCTAGGTCAACAAAACAATAGATTCATTTAATTTTCCTGTGGTTGACCTATACGACCAGGATGTAGAAAACTAGAAAGAACTGTCCTTCCTCAGATATACTCCTGGGAGAGAGCATGAATGGTATTCTGAACTATCACCTGATTCAAGGACTTTGCTAGCTAGGTTTTGAGATCAGGATTCAGTAACTGTAGTCTTGTGAGCATATTGAGGGCAGAGGGGGACTTAGTCTTTCATATGTGTTTCCTTAAGTGCCTACCAGACTATCTGTTCATAATCAGTTTTCAGTGTGAATTCATTGAATGTTTATAGACAAAAGAAAATACATAATAAAACTAATCTTCATTTTGAAAGGATAAAACATGACTACACAGAAACTTAAATAGAAATAGTGTATATACATATAAAATACAAGCTATGTTAGGACCAAATGCTCTTTGTCTATGGAGTTATACCAATTACATAGCAATGCTGAATTAGGCAAAACCAATATTTAGTAGTAAATCCATTCCTGGTAGTATAAATCACCTAAAAAAGACTTCTAGAAATATGTACCTTAATTATTTGTTTTTCTCCTATTTTTAAATTTATTATGCAAATTTTAGAAAATAAAATTTGCTCCAGTTACACACACTTAGAATTCTAGAATCTTAAAACTGTAAGGGGCCTCCATCCCTCTTAATCATTTGTAGTCTGGGAGATCAAGATTTTGATAAACCTAAGGTCATGCAGCTGGGTAGATATACAACTGTCACAAGAGTCTAGATCAGTTGGCACATGCTTTCTACACTAGATCATTAGTATTATTAGCTAATGGTCTTCTGTATTTTTTTGTTTTTGATTTCTATTGAGATATAGCCTTCACATTTGTACACAAATGTGACTATGTCTTGGCAATGCACTTCATACAGAATGACTAATCTATACTGTGATGATTTGACAAAAAGGAGAAAAGAAATTACGTAGTTTTCAATTCAGATTCCTATTCACCTTTTGTTTATGAATGGAAAGCTTTGTGCAAAATATACATATAAACAGAGTAAGCCTTTTAAAAATGTTCTTTGAAAGATAAAATTAAATACATGAGTTTCTAACAATTAGAAAGGAAAAAATTAAAATATGAAATGATAACAAAAGTAAACAGAAGATACTTTCAAAGCAGTGAACAAAACATTTTGACATAAGCCATAATATAAATTATAATATAAAAATATAAAAACCATAGTATAAGTTGTCAGCCTTTGAGTTGGCTACAAATTCAATTTAATGACAGAAGAGAAGGGATGCTGGAGGTAAATTCTTAGGGTTTCTATCTCATAGAGTTTGCTCTTCTGGTTCTCTAGACTGCCAAAGAACATAAAGATGTACGAGGGGACCTAGCTGTAGTAAAAGCATTCCTATAACAACAAAAACTCTAAAACGGTGCCCCTCACTATTTTCTACTGAAATTTCTCTAATAGTAGAGGTATAAAATATGAAGTTAGAGAATAATGCAAAGGGGGCCCACCACAGACAGCACATTTCTTTTCTCTTAAGACTCATGTGATTTTTGCATCTTACTCCATAATGTATTAGTGGTTGCATTAATATGACAATGACTGCAATTAAACACCAGTAAGCAAAATTGATACCTCAGAATGACTTGCAGGGCTTATCATGCAGTTTCATTTACATCCCTACCCCACTGCCATTTACTTGAGCATGAATGATACATGAGAAAGTCTTTGCCTCCCATAATCCAACTTTACACATAAATAACACAAGGCTAAAGAAAACCAGAACTCAAATTCACCATGCATAGGAGTGATAACTAAAATATTTAACAGTCAGTATAGGTGATTACTGGCCAATCAGAATACATCACTGATATATCGAAATGGATGCAGGCCACTGTGACTAACTTGTGGGTATCATTTCTATGATCACCTTAAAACAGAGTTGGGAAAATATCTATTAACTGGTCTCTCTGGTTTGAATTCTCAATATGTATCTTAATATGAAATAGCTCATTAAAACTTCATGTGTAACTATTTGAGCATTGTTGTCAGCTACTCTTTATTCCACTTCTGTACAGTATTTATTCAACCAAGCTGCTGCTTTCAATGAAGGTCACTTGTTCCTTCAGGGACACATATACTCCCACCTATCCTTTAATTTTGAATGGTTTGTCAAGAAAATTTACTTTCTCTTGAGTTGAAAAGACTTGACAGGAAGCAAGAAATAATATAGTCCTAGCCTCTTTCCAGTAACATCTGATTTCTCCATTCTCAAACTACACTTCTCAGGGAACCAGATATTTACTCTCATCTGGGAAGATGTCTCTTATGTTTTCCTTTTACTTCCTGGTTTTCATGTGGTTGCATTTTCCAAATTCTTATCATTGAATTTATGAGAGCCTATCCAAATTTATTTTCTTTCATTTATATTCTAATAATTGAAATGTGAGATGAAAATAACATTTCACTTATGAAAAACCCTTCTCTTATTGAATCCTTCCATGTGGTAGTTATCTATTGCTGTGTAACAAATTAAAACTTAATGGCTTGAAACAAATATTTGTTTTCTCATAGTTTATGTGGCTCATGAGCCTGGACACAGTTCAGCACAGTGTTTTTGTTCAGAATTCCTCATGAGGTGCAATCAAGGTGTAGCCAGGGCTGTAGTCATCTATCTCAATATTCAACTCAGAAAGGGATCCACCTTAGATCCTCACTGGCTGTTATCAGGACCTATCACTTCCTTACCACATGGACCTCTCCATAGCACTGCTTACAATATTACAGTCTGTTTCCCACGAAGCAAGAAATCAGAGTGTGAGATAAAGTACCCAAAATGGAAGCCACAGGTTTGTTTGTTTGTTTGAATATATATAACCTAGTTTCAAAAGTGATGTTACCTCTGCCTACACTCATGAGGAGGGTATTATACAAAGGCATACATACCAGAGAGCAGGGATCACTGGAAGCCATTTTACAGGCTGCCTAATCCAAGTCATAAACTAGATGTTTTTAATGTCACTGCCATAAACTGGGATTCTACAGGGTCTAATAAGAGAAATTCATGGCTTTCAGTGGGGATCCATTCAGCAGAGAAAGAGATGAAATATGTATATTCTCTGTGGAAACATTCTTGATTCTTCCTTGAAGGATACTGCATGGTCCATTCCTACACAGGATAATTAAGAAAAGGTTTGAACCAATCTGGACTTCCTATTAGCCTGAGATGTGGCTACTTAGAACTCCCAATGTACCTGGAAAACTAACAATATGCCTTTGCCTCCACATGAAGCAAATTACCCTGCCATCAGACTCAACATGAAGATAATCCTCCCTTTGGCTGCCCTACCTCAAGAGAATAAGATCATAGATTCCAGCTGGAATTCCTCTGGGCCATAGAGTGTTTTGTTCTAGATGCTGAAGGCAATCAGCCACCATTTACCCAAGACCGTCTGAGAATAAGACCTAAAAAGACTTGAAAACAATTGATTTCAATGGTAGGTACACACTGGTATCCCCTGTTCCGTATATATCTATAGATATATAGATATATACAGAACAGGAGATATATATAGATATATATATATATATATATATATATAGAGAGAGAGAGAGAGAGAGAGAGAGAGAGACAGACAGACAGAGAGAGAGAAAGAGAGAGAGAGACAGAGAGAGAGAGAGACACCTAGGCCCCAAATCAGGCCAATTACATCAGTGTATATGACAGGTGGCCCATGCAGTGGTATTTTAAAAATTCCCCAGAAGATTCTAATGTGCCTCTGTAGTTGAGAACTAATTAGGTAAATGCAAACAACAACAAAAACCAAAAAACCTCTTCAGAAACTATGCCTGCTTCTTCATCTTTGTCTCTTCTTTAAACACCTTGAAAGGGCTTATTCCCTCCCAGCCCTTCCTGCCCCTAGGTTTTCCTAGATGCCTCCGTATTTTCTGCTATGCACAACTGGGGCTCACAGGAAATGTAGGCACTAGAAAGAGAGTTACAATTGTTTTTGCATCAGAATGATTATGGAATAGAAAAAAGCATTTCATGCAAATGGACACCAAAAGCGAGCAGCAGTAGCTATTCTCATATGAGACAAAACAAACTTTAAAGCAACAGTAGCTAAAAGAGACAAAGACAGGCAGTATATAATGGTAAAGGTCTCATCCAACAGAAAAATATGACAATCCTAAACATACATGGACCTAACACTGGAGCTCCCAAATTTATAAAACAATTACTAGTAGACATAAGAAATGAGATAGACAGAAACACAATGATAGTGGGGGACTTCAATACTCCACTGACAGCACTAGACAGATCATCAAGACAGAAAGTCAACAAAGAAACACTGGATTTAAACTATACTTTGGAACAAATGGACTTAACAGATATATACAGAACATTTCATCCAACAACCACAGAATACACATTCTATTCAACAGCACATGGAATTTTCTCTAAGATAGACCATATGATAGGCCATAAAACAAGTCTCAGTAAATTGAAGAAAATTGAAATTGTATCACGCACTCTCTCAGATCACAGTGGAACAAAACTGAAAATCAACTCCAAAAGGAATCTTCAAAACCATGCAAATACATGGAATTTAAATAACCTGCTCCTGAATGAGCATTGGGTGAAAAACGAAATCACGATGGAAATGTAAAAAATTTCTTCGAACTGGATGACACAACCTATCAAGACCTCTGGGATACAGCAAAGGCAGTGCTAAGAGGAAAGTTTGTAGCCCTAAACACTGATGTCAAAAAGTCTGAAAGAGCACAAACAGACAATCTAAGTTCACATCTCAGGGAACCAGAGAAGCAGGAACAAGCCAAACCCAATCCCAGCAAACAAAGGAAATAACCAAGATCAGAGCAGAACTAAATGAAATTGACACAAGAACAACAACAACAAATACAAAACATAAATAAAGCAAAAAGTTGGTTATTTGAAAAGATAAATAAAATCGATAGACCATTAGCAAGATTAACCAAGAAAAGAAGAGAGAAAATCCAAATAACCTCACTAAGAAATGAAACAGGGGATATTACAACTGACACCACTGAAATATTAAAGGTTATTCAAGGGTACTATGAACACCTTTTGGCACATAAACTAGAAAACCTAGAAGAGTTGGATAAACTGCTGGAAAAATACAACCCTCCTAACTTAAATCAGGAAGAATTAGATACCCCAAGCAGACCAATAAATCAAGCAGCAAGATTGAAATGGTAATTTTAAAATTTCCAAAAAAAAAAGCCGAGGACCAGACAGATTCACAGCAGAATTCTACCAGACATTCAAAGAATGTCTTCTTTCATTCAAAGAAGAAATGATACCAATCCTTTCACACTATTCCACAAGACAGAGAAAGAAGAAACCCTCCCCGATTCATTCTATGAAGCCAGCGTCACCCTAGTACCAAAACCATGAAAGAACATAACCAAAAAAGAAAACTACAGACCAATATCCTTGATGAACACAGAAGCCAAAATCCCTAACAAAATACTATCTAACTGAATCCAACAACATATCAAAAAGATAATCCACCATGATCAAGTGTGTTTCATACCAATGATACAGGAATGGTTTAACATATGCAAGTCAATAAATGTGATACACCAAATAAACAGAATTAAAAAAACTCACACGATTATATCAACAGATGCAGAAAAAGCATTTGACAAAATCTAGCATTGCTTTATGATTAAAGCTCTCAGCAAAATAGGCATACAAGGGACATACCTTAATGTAATAAAAGCCATCTAGGACAAACCCACAGCCAACATAATACTGAATGGGGAAAAGGTGAAAGCATTCCCTTTGAGAACTGGAGCAAGATGAGGAACCTACTCTCACCACTCCTCTTCAACATAGTACTGGAAGTCCTAGCCAGAGCAATCAGACAAAAGAAGGAAATAGAGGAAATCCAAATCGGTAAAGAGGAAGTCAAACTGTCACTGGTTGCTGACGATATGACCTTTCTCCTTGAGAACCCTACGGACTCCTCTAGAAAGCTCCTAGAACTGATAAAAGAATTCAGCAAAGTTTCCAGATACAAGATTAATGGACACAAATCAGTAGCTCTTCTATACATCAACAGCTACCAAGCAGAGAATCACATCAAGAACTCAATCCCTTTTACAATAGCTGCAAAAAACAAACAAAAATAAAACAACAAAACTGAGGAATATACCTAGCAAAGGAATCAAAAGACCTCTACAGTGAAAATTACAAAACAATGCTGAAAGAAATCATAGAGGGAGCCAAGCACGGTGGTGCATGCCTATAATCCCAGCTACTCGGGAAGCTGAGGCAGGAGAATCACTTGAACCCAGTAGGCAGAAGTTGTAGTGAGCCAAGATCACACCATTGCACTCCCACCTCAGCGACAAGAGCGAAACTCCCCCTGAAAAAAAAAAAAAAAACCAAGAAAGAAAAGAAATCATAGACGACACAAACAAATGGAAACGCATCCCCATGCTCTTGGATGGGTAGAACCAATATTGTGAAAATTACCATTCTGTTAAAGGCAATCTACAAATTCAATGCAATCCCCATCTGAATACCACCGTCATTCTTCACAGAATTACAAAAACAATTCTAAAATTAATATGGAACCAAAAGAAAGCCATGTAGCCAGACCAAGGCTAAGCAAAAAGAAC
This sequence comes from Homo sapiens, assembly GCF_000001405.40. Lineage (NCBI taxonomy): Eukaryota > Metazoa > Chordata > Mammalia > Primates > Hominidae > Homo > Homo sapiens. The sequence continues at coordinate 14,880,329 of NC_000018.10, read as the reverse complement.
AAACCTGGAGGCATCACATTACTTGATTTCAAACTGTACAATAAGGCCATAGTTAGCAAAACAGCATGGTACTGGTTTAAAAATAGGCACATAGACCAATGGAACAGAAGAGAGAACCCAGAAATTAACCCAAATACTTACAGCCAACTGATCTTCGACAAAGTAAACAAAAACGTAAAGTGGGGAAAGGACACCCTTTTCAACACATGATGTTGGGATAATTGGCGAGCCACATGTAGGGGAATAAAACTGGATTCTCATCTCTCACCTTATACAAAAATCTACTCAAGATGGATTAAGAACTTAAACCTAATTCCTGAACCATAAAAATTCTACAAGATAACACTGGATAAACCCTTCTAGACATTGGTATAGGCAAGGATTTCATGAGCAAGAACCCAAATGCAAATGCAATAAAAACAAAGATAAATAGCTGGGACTTAATTAAACTAAAGAGCTTCTGCATTGCAAAGGAAACAGTCAGCAGAGTAGACAACCCACAAAGTGGGACCCCTGACCCTGACCCCTGACCCTGACCCTTAACCCCTGACCCTGACCCCTATCCCCTGACCCTAACCCCTAACCCCTAACCCTGGACCCTTAACCCTAACCCCTAACCCCAACCCTCACCCTCACCCTAACCCCTAATCCCAAACCACTAACCTCTCTTAACCCCTAACTCTAAACGTTGACTCCTAACCCTTAACTCTGACCCTAACTCCTATCTCCAACCCCTAAACCCTAAATTTAACCCCTAACCCCTAACCCTAACACCAACCTTAACCCTAGGTTCGTTACTACATTTGTATTGACTATGTCAATGTTGATTGTTATGATCGCTGTCTTAGGACTGCACGGCAGCGAGGGGATTGCGGATCTTATATTAATATTTTTGTATTGAGGCAGTGCATTAGCATTACAGGTGCTTGTTATATGAGCGATGGGGGTGTCATATTTTGGGTGTCATGTCTGCATTAGGAATGCTGCATTTGTCTTCCGAGGCTGTGGTGTGGATCTTGCACTGTGGCCGCCTCGCCTTGGCTGGGGAGAACCTCGGTGGGCAGGATTCAGAGGGGCTTTTGGTTTCCCGTTTTCCACACTGAACCCTTCTAACTGGTCTCTGACCCTGATTATTCAGGGCTGCAAACTGGAAGGATTTTATTCACTGTCGATGTGGCCCCGAGTTGTCCCAAAGCGAGGCAGTGCCCGCAAGGTCTGTGCTGAGGAGAACACTGCTCTGCCTTCGCGGTGTCCCCCGGGTCTGTGCTGAGCAGAACGCAGCTGCACCCTCGCGGTGCCCCCGGCCTGCCTGCCTGCCCAGGTCTGTGCTGAGGAGAACACTGCTCTGCCTTTGCTATATCTCCGAAGTCTGTGCAGAGGAGAACTCAGCTCCGCCCTCGCAAGAGGGTGACTGGGTAGCTGATGAATGGCAGCCCCTCCTGCCTGAATGCCCTCTATTGCTGGGCATTGCTGCACAGCACCTTTTTCCTGGCCTTAATACTTACTTAACAATCTTTTAGAAAGCTCCACGCCTAACACTGAATCTTAAAATGTGACATTCTTCCTATAAAATCAATAGTTAAACCACATTTTGTAAACTCATACCAAAATAGAAACCCAGGAAAAGAAGCACCCCTTTTGTCCTCTATTTTAATAATAAGAGGGAAAGGGGGCTGGGATAAAGGGAACGGCTGCCCTTTCTGTGTGTGGAAAGCTATAATTTAAATATGCACACCAGATTTTCAAGCAGCACACTCTAAAGCATCAGCCCTGTTATTCGGATGATGGAGTTTGCAGACTTTCTGTTTGCCCTCCTCTTGCTTTTCCCACCTTTGGGGCTTTTCACTGTCCCCAGAAACCCAACCTTAGAATCGAGAAAGAAGGCAAAGACCGTATCTAATAGACTCATAAGCTCCTTATTAATAATAGTGCAGTAAAGTGTAAATGGGGTAGGTGCCTTTTTTTGCAAAACAAAGTTTCTAGATTCTCTGTGTTGCATTTAGCCAGGCCCTCATTTCTAACCACAGGGTAGATAATCAAGTTAACAAAGACCGCGTTTTGTCCTTCTATTTCCATATGGACGTCATGTTTCACACTGCACTACTATCTGCTCGGTTCCACAAAGGGAGAGTATCCACTGAGTGCATTTTAAATGTTCTTTGACTGCTTGTGTTTTCAAAAGCACAGCACACGAGCATCTCGGTCAAGATGAGCTGGTAGGACCTCTCCTGACACCCTATTCCCTCACAGTGGACTTCTCACTGGCAACCTCCACTTTTGCTGCTTAGCTCAGTGTGTCTCTGCAAATAGGCATGTTTAAGCAAAGAATAAATGCCTAAGGCGATGCAGGTGGGTAGCAGGGGAGAGTCAGGGAGACAAAAAGAACAGTAGCACTTACATGGAGCTCTGCCAGCTTTTGGGCTAACAGGGTCACGAACAGATCAGGAACCTGAGGCAATCAAAGGACTTCACCCCACAAAGCCAGGGCTCTCTCAGGAGCTGGAAAACCCAGGAGAATTTCCACATATTCCTGAGAGTTCCTCGTGCATTACCTTTAGTGCCTCATTAGCAGGAATGGGTCCTTCTGTGGCTTCACCAGATTGTTTCGCAGTAGAAAGAGGACAGACCAAGGAGCCCCAGTCCCACCTGTGACCTCAGGCAGTCACCTGACACCTCTGAGCCTCAGTTTTCTCATCTGTTCAGTGGGGATGGTATATTTCTCCTTACAGGGCTGTGGAAAGGACAACATAATCTTACACAGAAAAAGTAGTACTAAGCTAACATTGGTTGAGTGCCTATTACATTCTACACAACGCGCTAAGTACTTTGCATATTTTGTCTCATTGAATTCTGATGACAACCCTGTGAAGTAGGAACTCTTACTATCCCCCATGCTATGGATGCAGAAACTGGGGCTCAGAGCAGTTAAGTACCTGGCCAAAGGCCAGAAAGTCAACTAGAATTGATGTGTCCATTTTCATTCATTCATTCATTCATTCATTCATTCATTCATTCATTCATCATTTATTGAGTACCCGTTCCATGCCAGGCAATGAGAAGCAAATCACAAATACTCCCTGCCCCATGGCACTGACAGTCTTGTTACTGCAAAGTACAAGGTGCAGAGTAAGTGGAAGTCAAATCAGATTCCAACTTCTACTCAATTCCCAGTAGGCCCCAGACTAAACTCTCCAGAACAATGGTACTGCTCCTGTGGTTTTGCCTGGTGCTCACGATTGAGACATACTCAAAGAAGAGACTGCTGGCTCTGCAGGTCCTCCAGGGACAGAAGCCAGGAATGTTGGCCAATACAGAAACATCATAAACATCCTTGTATTTGATGCATTCCTGGACCCATAGATCTGAAAGCAACCTTGAGAATAGAATGCACTGAATTTATTTCTCTGCCTCTGAGGAAGATTACATTTGAACTTTGCGTGACAGAGATCCAGCTAGAATCTTCACCTTAAAAACCTGGCTAAACAAAGCTCGTATTCATAAACAGGTGAACTTAAGGGTATCCCCATGCCTTTAAATAGTGAACACTCTGGTGCATTTTAAGCAGGAGTGATTCAGTGTATTCTCTTAGCACACAGTTTTCAGGAATGCAAAATATACCTGTGCCCAGCATCTTAAGTCTTTTAAAAAGTAGATGATGCCTTTCTCTCTGTTCACTTACAAGCTCATGCCTTTAAAAGCATTTGTTTGGAAGTCCTTCCTTAAATCTAACCTGAATCCAACCTGCTGTGCTTAAGGTTACCTCAGTAATCTTTCTAATACAACCCAAGAGAGAAGGACTGGAGGGAAGAATTTAAGACCCCCATGAGATCAGGAGCAGAATCCTAAGTTAGTTGTATCACTTGTGGCTAAATGTTGGCATCATTTCCCTAATTTTTTCTAGCCACTCCCAGGCACTCCAACTGACTCTGAGAATTTTCTTCTTGGACACACTTGAAGAAGCATCTGAAATTTGTGCCATGCAGCTTAGCACTTACTTACTCAACAAGGATGAATCTTAGAGACCATCAAGTTTTGCCCTTGCAGGAGAGAAGAGGAAACTGAGATTCAGAGAACTGTGACTTAATCAAGGACACATATCAAATCTGTGGCAAAGCTGGGAAGGTGACCCAAACTCCAGACCCCAAGCCCGGTGCTTTTTTTTTTTCCAGATCTATGTCTCCCCCACATCTTACTCTGTTTCCCTGAGGTCCAGAGCCATGCCCTGTTCCTTTTTAGGATTCTCACGACCCAGGCTTAGGCACATTAGTTGTCCAAAGCACACTTGGCTTGCTCTGACTTGAGCAGTACAATGAGCTATGTCTTAGTTTCAGGCAAGACCACCTTGACCATGGGACATGAAAAGGCACTCTATGGGGCCTCTACTATGATGTAGCAGGGATTGTGTTAGCACATTGCTATAGCCCTGGGAAGCAAGAATTCTTAGCGCCCATTGCCCAGATGAAGAAACGCACTTTCAGAGAGGGTAAAGAATGTCTCTATGGTACCACCGCTATATAGTGGCTAGGCTGGAATTCAAAACCAGGTTTGCCTGCCTCCTTCTCCTGTATGATACTGCTTCATAAACAGTCCCCAGAACCTTAATGACCAGGTGGAACGAACCAACAAGGTCATACTGAAATTGTGCACCAGTGCCCTAATGACCAAGAGAAAATACATTTCATTCAATTCAAAGGTATAAAGATGTAAGGTAGAAGCCACCAACTGTGGACATGGAGGAGCCTCAGAGTGACAGCACCTGCTGTCCAGGGGCTCCTCCTCCTCTCTTCCCTCGCAGTTTCTCTCTCCCTTCCTTTAACACTTATTGACTATGCCAGCCACACAGTAAGCGCTCAATAAGTGTTTGGGCCCATAACCTTCCTATGGGAAAGCCCCTTCACTTTCTGAACATGGCCTGGCACTGTCCAGATGCCCTTCTGTCCTGTGTGGTCCTGGGCAGGGGCATCTCCTCTTCCAGGACCGCTCTGAACTCTAATTTGATGGCAGCTGCCTGGCAACCTCATCATCCTCCTGACATGGCCATGTAGCTTCTCAGCTTCCATCATTCCCGAAAGTCTGCAAGGTTATGGGGTTTCCTTGCTCCAGAGGACACAAAATCGCTTAGCTCTGCTTGGATTTGCTCTTGGCTAGTGGAGACCTGTGACTGCTCTTCTGCTCCCTTGAGCCTTCCTCATGGAGGTTTGCTGAGGCACAGTCTGCGATTGATTCCTCATGCCCCTGCTAGGTTTTAACAGCTGGTGAAAACGTCTGCTCATATTTCACTCACACTCCCCTGGCTGCGGGTTCAAGTCACTGTTGATTTGGTCATTGGGTTACACACACGTGCAGCCTGAGTGGACCTGTATGAGTCTTCCCAGCATCAGCGGCCTTGACCTCTCATGAGGTCACTCCCCTAGGCTTTGAGAACCACTCCTTGAATATCATCTTGGAATGCGTAAAACAAACAACAAAAAGTTTGAAAGGGCTCAGGACTCTGCATTTGAAGAATCAAACTATACTATCTTCTGGGCAAGTCACTCCCCTCCTTGTACATGAGTTATTCCATTCATAAAAGGGAAGAACAGGGATAGATAAGCTTATAGGTCCCTTCTACACCCAGGCTCTGCCTGATTCTGCTGAACCACAACTTCGGGAGGGTGGCCAAGAGGTCTTTCTGGTCCCTGCTAACCACTTTCATCTATTCCCTTAACCTGAGGTCTGTAAACACTTTTTTTTTTGGCTTCAAAATACAAAAAGAGAAAACTGAAAAATCGAAATAGATAAAACTTTAATTAAATATCTACATAATGGAATGTTATGAAAACATCATTAATTGTTAAGGTTGATGTTCATACAAATTGTATTACACTTAAAAACAATTTGTTCCTTAGAATTACTCACTTTGAAAGGGTTTTCAAATAAGTCCAGCGATTGCTAAGGCCTCATAGCCATGAGTTAGTCACAGCCAACCACAAGCAAAATCATTAAAACCTCTTTTAAACATACTACAGCAAATAATAATAATAATTAACGTGAAATGTGGGTGACTTTCAGTATGTTTGATAAAATGTGGGTTGAAATCTCCAAAAGGAAGAGCGTTCAGGGTCTTCGAAAGTCTTAGGATTACTCTAGAACCAGAGTATAGAATATGCACTCATATTTATAAATCACTTACTCTGTGCCAGGCTCTTCTGAAGCCCTTCCCATGCATTAACTCACTTAATTGGTGAGACAATTCTTGAGGTAGACACAATCACCATTCCCATTCTACAGGTGAGGAAACTGACTAAGCAAGTAAGTGGCACAGCTAGAATGGAAATCAATGGCACCAGGGCTCATGTTCTCAGCCACCTTACCACATACAAAGCTTGCCATGCCGGGTGTTTCCCCAGGAGAAAACAAGTGCTGGCAGGTTAAGAAGGGAGGGAGGTACATCTCCCTAATGAGGAGTGCACTTGACACCGAGTTAAATGGAACCCATTCCTCGCTCGGCTCTACTGCTACTTGCTAACTCCTCTGTGGTTCTCTGCTGCCCACAGAGGTCTCCTCTGTAGCTGACTCTCAGCCTCGCCTAATGCTATTAATAATAAAGAGCTGATGTTATTGAGAACTCCATCAGCATTTTATACAGGACTTAATCTCATTCAATCCCCATGACCTCCATTTCATAAACAAGGGAATTGGGGGTTTAGAGAACTGAAACAATTTGCCCACAGTCACATAGCTCTCAGAAATAGCAGAAGCCAGGATTCACACTCCAATCTTATTCTAAAGCCCAAATTCTCTCTTTTTTTTTTTTTTTTTTTTTGAAACGGAGTCTTGCTCTGTCACCCAGGCTGGAGTGCAATGGCACCATCTCGGCTCACTGCAACCTCTGCCTCCCAGGTTCAAGTGATTCTCCTGCCTCAGCCTCCTGAGTAGCTGGGATTACAGGTGCCTGCCACCAGGCCCAGCTAATTTTTTGTATTTTTAGTAGAGATGGAGTTTCACCATGTTGGCCAGGCTGGTCTCAAAATTCTGACCTCGTGATCCACCCACCTCGGCCTCCCCAAGTGCTGGGATTACAGGTGTGAGCCACCATGCCCGGCCCCAAATTATCTTTTAATTATAAAGATATACATATTGTTTAAACAATTCAATAAATAAGTATACTGAATAACAAAGTGAAGTCTTCCCTTTACCACAATCAACCTACTGTTCTCTCTCTATCTGAGGCTCTCTTCCTACGTTCCACTGTCCCAGACTTCTGCAAAGTATTTATGTATCTATTTAGGTATCTGTCCATCTTTCCATTCCTCTTTCAATTATATATTCTGGTGGTTTCACTCTCCATGTGGCAACTCTACATCCAGGATCAAAACGGCATCAAAGGAAGCTTGGAACAGTGACAACTCCTACCTGAGATGTCTCCATTCTAGGGGCAAGGCTGCGTGGTGCCTGATATCCATGAGATTAGGAAAAGTAGGTGGGGTCCTGTCCACCCCTTCTATTCCCGAACGCTTGGCAGGGTTTCTGTGGCTAACATGCCAGTTGTATCGACTCCTGCACAGTCTCATGTGAAGTGCCACACTACATTCTCAGCCTGGAAGGTTTCAGGGCTCAGCTGGCTCAGATTCCATGTGTGGGGAGCATTAAGAAAAATAGGTCACCTGTATAAGACTAGTGGCAAAAATCTGACTCAGTGCTACTTCTCTGTTTGTCCTTTACTTAAAAGGAGAACCATAATTAAAATGATCCAGAAAAGAGAACCAAGCAGGAGACTGAGTTGCTTGGGGAAAGGACCACGCTGCATTGATTTCTATATAACCAATGGCAGCAGTGCATTGGATACACAACAGGTTCTCAATAAATTGTTAAATGGATAAGTTGATAGAATAAAAAACAAGGTCTCTTCCCAGTGCTGCATGCAAAAAAGCTCAGAGTGAATTCTTATTTGCAAAGATGAGAGATTTTTAGTCTTCTGATGGCTGTTTCCTCCTCTCTGTTTCCTTTGCCACAGTTTAGGGGCAAAGAAAAGTTTCCATCTCTTAGAAATGGTAGGAGAAACCCTTGGGGCTTAGCTAACAAATCAGGCTCTCTCTTTCCAATGTTGTGAGAATAGAAATATTTCACCATCAGCACCAACAATGTCATTTGCATAAGGAAGTGACTTCCTGGCTGAGAGATGGTCAGAATAACATAGAGCCTAGGAGTGAAGGCAGTGAAGTTTGTGAGCCTAGGGCTCTGGTTCTGGTGTCTGCTTCGTGGCTGTGTGATCTTGGGCAAGTTTCCTACATTTTCTGCTTCTCAGTTTTGTCATCCATAAAATAACAACAGTACCTGCCTCAAATAGTGTGTGGGAGAGGCTTAAACAAGCTAATGTAAGTCAAATCTTGAGCACAATCTCTGGTGTAGCTATACATGTTTGTGTATATATCAGAAGCTCAAAATTATACCATTAGTATTAACAACATACTCTGGACCCTCATTGTAATGCCATTCTCAATATCCCAACACTTGATTTCTATTGACAACTCCTAGGCTCCACTGTTCCTCCCACCTCGGCTTCCCGAGTAGCTGGGAATATAGCCACCATGGCTGGCTAATTTTTAATATTTTTTTTTGTAGGGACAGGGTCTTGCTATGTTACCCAGGCTGGTCTCAAACTCCTGGCCTCAAGAAATCCTCCCACCTGGGCCTCCCCAGGTGCTAGGATTTACAGGCATGAGCCACCATGCCAAGCTCCCTTCCTCCCCTTTGTTCTCCTAACCCCATCTCAGCATCTGCCCCTGAGGACCAATGCAACAGGGCAATCAGTACATCCATGGACTTCCCAACAGTCCTGTGGTGGACTAACCCAGGGGCAATGGTCACTGTCCCCTCTGGTGCATTCTTTGTCCCCATCAGCCTAGTAAGCTCCAGGGGCTGGCAGCTGGCACAGAGTACGAGGCTGCACTCCTTGACCTTTCTATGCTGCACACAGTCCTGTGCCCATCCTGTCCTCAGATCTGCTGGGACCATGACCAACCTGCCAAGAGCGTGGGAATTGGTATGTGACCCAGCTCTAGGAGGAGGTGGAGCAAGCGAATGTAGGGGAAGCTGCTCACCCAGTAGGTTTAGAGGGAGGGTGGGGTGGGGGTGCAGCAGGACCAGGCAGGTGAGGGTGTGCGGGTGAGGGTGTGCCGGTGTGGGTAGGGGTGTGTGGGTGGGGGTGTGTGGGTGAGGGTGTGTGGGTGAGAGTGTGTGGGTGAGGGTGTGCGGGTGAGGGTGGGGGTCTGTGGGTGGGGGTGTGTGGGTGGGGGTGTGTGGGTGGGGGTGTGGGTGAGGGTGTGTGGGTAGGGGTGTGTGGGTGGGGGTGGGCGGGTGAGAGTGTGTGGGTTAGGGTGTGAGTGCCTGTTTGGCTCTTCTGGGTGGGGCTGGATGAATGTTTGGGCGGGGGCAGCAGCTGTCACATGGCCTGGCTGCAGGTTTGGGACAGAAGCCAGGCAGGTGGGCTGTGTCAGGCACAGCTACAAACTGTGCCAAGGAAGCGGACCAGAGCAGGGGCCAAGGGAAACCTCTGCCTTAGCAGAAGATACTGGGGAGATGGGATCAATCAGGGAGGTCTTTCAAGGCACATGGTGCTTCATGGAGCCAGGGCCCAGGACAGGGAGGGCTGTAACCCTGGCTTGCCTGATTGGCTGAGCACAGACAGATAGAAGAGGGTGTAGGCAGCCCACTAGGTGGATGCCTAAGTGAGGAAGGAATGGGTGGCCAGGTGACTGAGACCCCCAAGACCAGGACCCCACTGTCAGGTCTGTGGCTTCCAAACGCCTGTGGGAAGTGTTCCCCTTTGGACACTGAGGCCATCAGCTTCAGCTTCACACACTTTTCCAGACAAAGTCCCGTGGGTAACCTCAAAAGTCACTTCTGGCCTTCCCCAGAGGGGAAAGGAGAGGGGTGCCTGTGGGCAGGTGACCCTCAGTGCTGGTGGAGGGCACAGCAGAGAGACTGCCTGCATGTGGGAGGCCCCCAGCAAACCTTGCCCAGACGTCACCACCCATTTGAGGCAAACTGTAAAATTATTACAATTTAGGCCAGGCGCAGTGGCCCATGCCTGTAATCTCAGCACTTTGGGAGGCCATGGCAGAAGGATTGTCTGAGCCTGCAGTGAGCTATGACTACACCCCTGCACTTCAACCTGGTCAACAGAGGAAGACACTGTATCTAAAATAAATAGGCTTCGCGTGGTGGCTCACTCCTGTAATCCCAACACTTTGGGAGGCCGAGGCAGGTGGATCACCTGAGGTGAGGAGTTCGAGACCGGCATGATCAATATGGTGAAACCTCATCTCTACTAAAAACACAAAACTTAGCAGGTCGTGGTGGCCCGTGCCTGTAATACCAGCTACTCAGGAGGCTGAGGCAGGAGAAATAGCTTGAACCCAGGAGGCAGAGGTTGCGGTGAGCCAAGGTCAGGCCACTGCACTCCAGCCTGGGCGACAGAGTGAGACCCCACCTCTAGAAAATAAATAAGATGGGAAAGCTATGTTCCTAACATTTTTCAAATGATAGTTCATACTAAAGAATGTTACCAATACTAATGCACAAAGCATTTTATAACTTTTAGACTATTAATAAAAGGTAAGACATGAAAACTGAAGTATTTGTAATCATGCTTAATACTGGAAGTTCCTATACCTGCAATGTAGCAGCTAATTATACAAAAATTTAATAAATGACAAAATAAAATTTTGCAAACAGATTTGTAAAAACCAGAAATAAATTTGTATTGGCAATTAATGTAGCATAATTAAAAATAATTTATTATGGTCATCTGCTAAATGCTAATTAATGTTAAAAGATTATTTTAATTATGACATCTTAACTTTTAATGGCTTTAAATATTATAAATATAAAAAACGGGTTTCTAAATTTAAAAGAAGAATGACTAAATTTTTCAGAATTATTTCATATTTCTTGTCATACAACATAAGAACACCATCCATGTTTCCTTTTAGATTAGGAACCCTCCCTTATTATCTCACTGAAAGGAGAATGCTGGAAGGTGCTAGTAAGATGACCGTCTAAGGACTCCAGAACTGAAGAAATTGTTTTGTGGCAATGCATGTCACTTCCCTAACTCAACTGGAAAAGGAGACAAAATCCTAGTGTTTTCAACCCTCAAGCTAGCAAGAAAACACAGCCCAGGTAAGCTCATCTCTTCTCCAATGGAGCTGGAGTCTACTCAACAAGAGGCGACCATTTAGAATAGAATTGTTCAGAAATTTGCTAACAATAAGCAGCCAACATAGACACATTCTCCTTAAATCTAAAATTCCCTTTTCCCCCACTAGGGTGCCTGAGAGGCATGTAGCAAAAGTGATCCCAACCACACCACGCAAACTAGCCAGGAAACCTTTTTGCCTTCACACATCTGAGAGTCCGTGAGAAGCCAGAGACAACACGGAGGCAGCAGAACACCAACAGGAGAGTCCCAGCATCACTTCCTGGCCATAGAAGCCCTCCTGAGCAGCAGGCAGAACAGAATCTGCTACAGCAATCAGCCTGCCGGAGAAGCCTCTGCCCCTGTGGCCTAAGGTTCCACTTTCCCCAGGTGACACCATGGGCAGGTGGGCTGAAGAAGTGGGAAGGTCAAATCAACTGGTCCAGGAGGATGCCTCTTTGATGATACAAGTGATACCGGTCTAAGCCTCGCCTCTTCCACAGGGGAAACTAGGTGGCCCAAAGGGTGCCCAGAGGCAGGGGACCTGCCACAGCAGCCACCCTCCTGAGAGGTTCCCTTTCTTCCCCTTGGTGAACTCCCTCCAACACACAGCTTGCCAAGAAAGCACCCTTTATCTTACATGGGGGGATCCCACAACACCAAAACCCAGGAAAGAAGCCTTTTGTCCCTTAAGGTTTATCACAACCAAAAACAAAAAGATACACAAATCGTAAGCCCCTAAATTCTGTTAAGAACAAAACAATGCTGCCACTCACACCTGGCTCAGATGCCAGCAGAAGGAGGGCACCCTCCAGAGACTGCAGGAGAAGGGGGAGGACTCCTCCTTGCCCTGGCTGCACCTCCACCATCACTGAGGCCTGTGGTACAGAACCAGCAGCTTCTTACACATCCCAGGCTGGGCCAGGCCCCAAAGCCCTCCTACTCCCCCTTCCTGGCCCCTAGACTTGCTGCTGCTGCCACCATTAGCACTGACGCCAAAGGAACCAGCGCTGCTGTCACCCTCCATGCACCTGCCCACCCTCCAAGGCTCCTACCACTTGGCCTCCACAGGTACCCTCCTACCGCTCCTGTTGAGCTGCCGTCTCCATCACCATGGCTGCCACAACCATAGGAGATGAATCACAGAGCTGTGCCATATTCAGGCTCCAACCTCCAGCTCACCACAGGGGACACCTCCTTCATCAGCCTGGCTTGGAGCAGCTGGGCAGACAATGCCAGAAAAACCTACAACAGGATGCAGAAAGTGACAGTGTTAGAGCCTCACCTTGTCATGCTGGCCACTGGGTGGCTGGGGCCAGTTTTGGCGAAGGCTCTCACACCCACCCTCCAAAGTCCAGCCTCTCCTCCTAGACCAAGCTGGCCTCCTGACCTGGGGTGGGGACTGGAGACACCACAGTGCCCGGGGCTCCCTGGGGAGCAAGAATAGCAGAAACTCAGACCCAGCCAGTCCTCCCCACCCAAGTACCAGTTCCCATTCCTGACTCCTCCACCCACAGGACCCTGAGCCCCCGTGGTGCCCACTACTCCATGCCTGGGGCTCCCAGATGGTCTCCACAACACAGAGCAAGAGGGCAAGGGCCGGGTAACCATGGTGGGTGCGAAGGCCCTGCGGTGGTCAGAGGATTGCCGTGAAAACTCTGTGCACCCTCTGCGCTCCAACACGAGCAGAAGTTGTTCACCCTCTAGAACCTTGAGTCCAGGAAGAGGAGAAGGGCCCCTTCCTCAGAGGCCACCACTGTCATGGCCACCTCCACAACCTGCTGCTGGCAGCAGCAGTGCAGCCTCCCCCCATACCACCCCTAACCTGCCCCCCCTCCCCACAAGCTTAGCCCCCAGATTGTGCCCACAACACACCCAGAGACTGCTGCAGGCAGTGTTACCCTGATAGCACCCCCAAACCACCCGTGGTGGACACTCGATAGTGTCCACAACCCATCCCTGCCACGGGTGTTGCAGCACCAAATAGTGCCCCATCAAACCCGCCCCCCACCCGGACCACAAGCAGCACAGCCCCAGATAGCGCCCCCAATCTGCTCCTGTCACAGGCAGTGAACGCCCGGGGTACTGCACCCAACCAACCCCCCGACCCCACCTTCCCCTTTCCCCCACGGACAATGCAACATTTGACAGCTCCCCTAAAGCACCCCCGGACTGCCTGCCAGTTGGCATTGTTGCTGACATTGTAGCTCATGGTAGCTAACCCAACCTGCCCCCTGCATTGGCCAGTGCAGCAGCTAATTCCCCTAACCCCCTGCCACCCGCCGCTGGTAGTGCACGACAGCGCACACAACCTGCCTCCAACCGCCTGCCACCTTAGGCAGTGTAGACCCTGATAGCGCAGTGAACCTGCCCCACTGCCAGCAATTCAACGCCCGATAGCGCCACCCACTAGCCCCCTGCGGCAGGCAGTGCAGCCCCAAAAGCACACCCAACCCACCCCACCACCACCCCACAAGCGGGCAGTGCAGCTGCAGAGAGCGCACCTACCCTGCCATCTTTCTACTACTCTAACAGAGATGCAGTCTCCGTTGCCACCACCAACCGCAACCAGGCGAGCCATGGTGGCCAAGGCTCCAGCTGCCAGCGTTGGGCACGGTCCCCACCTTCTCCTAGACCTCTAGCTGGTCAAGAGCAGCTCCAGCTGCCAGCCACCCTCCTACAGCTCAGGCTGCACTCCTACCGCCCCGGCTGCCATCTTACTGCTCCAGCCTCCCGCCTACCACTCCGGCCATGATCTTACTGCTCCAGCCCCCCTCCTACCACTCAGGCCACCCTCCTACCACTCAGGCCACCCTCCTAACACTCCAGCCACACTGCCATCTCTGTTGCCACCACCATCTAGAGTGAGACGAGCCACAGTGTTACAGGCTCCAGCCTCCAGCTCCCCCTTCTCCTGGTCCTCTAAGCCGGGAACAGAGTAGCTTGGCTGGAGATACTGGAGAGCCTAAACTGGCATGAGGCCTCCTCAGCATGCACGTGGGGTTACGCACATGGTTTCTGGACTACATGTTCCGATTGGGTGAGAGAAAACCTCTAGGCCTTCTCTGATTGGACTTTATTTTCATACTCTGATTGGTTGTCCTAAGACTTTCTTTCATCCAATCAGAACATGATAACAAAGTCCAATCAGAGTAGGCCTCCGGGCTTTCTCTTATCCAATCCTGGAACGTGTAGTCCAGGAAAGGCATATTCATAACCTCAGTACATAAATGGTGCTGAAGAAGAGTCAGGCTATTCCAGGTTCTTCTGTATCTGCTCACCGAGCTGCTCTGAGCCCGGCTTAGAGGACCAGGACAGACTGGAGGCTGTAGCCTGTGGCACCATGGCTGGCCTCCCTGCAGTTGGTGGTGACAGAGACTGTAGTGTGGCTGGAGCGGTAGGAAAGGGAAAATAGTTTTGGGATAGATGAAAGGGTAAAGAGGGTGGTTAGTGCCAAAAGGAAAAAAGGATGGTGAGCTGGAGAAGGCATTGCATAAAGATGGTGAGGAAAAGATGTTGGGAAAAAAAAAACTGGGGGTAGATGGAGGGGGAAAAACAGGGTGGTGAACAGGAGGGACGGAAGGTTTCACAGAAAGACGGTAGTGAAAAAGTTTTTGGGTAGATGGAAGGGGGTAAGAGAGGGTCGTGAGTGGGGAACGGGGATGAGCAGGAAGGAGAGAAGGTTTGCAAAAATACGGTGGGGAGAGAAGAAAGGGAAAGAAGACTGTAGGTAAAAAGATTTTGAGTAGATGGAGGGGGGAAAAGGGTGACAAGTGGAAGGAGAAAAGAGGGTGCAGAGAGGGAGGGGGAAGAGAGAGTGGCAAGCAGGAGGGAGAGAAGGTTTTGTGAAAAGACAGTGAGGAGAGAAGCTTTTAGGTAGATGGAGAGGGAAAAGAGGGTGGCCAGTGGGAGAAGGATAAAGAGGGTGGCGAGGAGGAAAGTGAAAAGGTTTTGCGAAAAGACGATAGGCAGAAAAGAAAGTGTAGAAAGAAAAGACAGTGGGTAAAAAGTGTTTGGGTAGATGGAGGGGGAGAAGAGGGTGGCAAGTGGGAGGAGAATAGAAAGTGTGGCCAGAGGGAGTGGGGAAAGAGGACTGGGAAAAAGGCGATGGGGAAAATAGTTCGGGGTAGATGGAAGGCAAAAAGAGGGTGGCAAGCAGGACAGAGGAAAGAAGAGGGTGAGCGGGAAGCGGGGAAGGCTTTGTGAGAAGGTGGCAGGGAAAAATTGGGGAGGTAGATGGGTTAAAAGAGCGTGGTGAGCAGGAGGAGAGAAGAGGCTTTGCAAAAAGACGGCGGGAAAATGTTTTTGGTAGATGGAGAAGGGAAAGGGTGGCAAGGAGGATGGGAGAAAAAGATGATAGGGAAACAGTTTTTGGGTAGATGGAAGGGGAAAGAGAGGGTGGCGAGCAGCAGGAGTGGGGAGAAGGCTTTGGGAAAAGATGAGGGAAATGTTTTTGGGAGTTGAAGGAGCAAAAGAGGATGATGAGAGCAGGAGGTGGAAAAAAGGCTGGCCAGGGAGAGGGAGAAAAGACGTTGGGGAAAAGTTTTGGGGTAGATGGGTGGGGAAAATGGAAGTGAGCGGTAAAGTATAGAAGGCTTTGCAAAAAGACAGTGGGGAAAAAATGGTGGGGAAAAAGTTTTGGGGTAGATGGAGGAAGAAAAAGGGTGGTGAGAGAGGGAGCCAAAGACGGTCAGGAAAAAAATTCCTCCTGTTACTGATTTTTTAATACTCTTCCACTCTGCTCAGAAAAAATAATTGATATGATTTCAGGGTTTTTTTTGTTTTGGTTTGGTTTGGTTTGGTTTGGTTTTTTGAGACGGAGTCCTGCTCTGTTGCCCAGGCTGGAGTGCAGTGGTGTGATCTTGGCAAACTGCCACCTCCACCTCCCCGGTTCAAGCCATTCTTTTGACTCAGCCTCCTGAGTAGCTGGGATTACAGGCATGCACCACGACGCCCAGCTAATTTTGCATTTTTAGTTCTAAATGGGGTTTCTCCATGTTGGTCAGGCTGGTCCCGACCTCTGTTGATTGGCCCACCTCTGCCTTCCAAAGTGCTGGGATTACAGGTTTGAGCCACCGCACCTGGCAAGGATGTTGAATTTTATTGAATATTTTTTTCTGCATCTATTGAGATAATCATATGATTTTTGTTTTAAATTCTGTTTATATGGTAAATCACATTTATTGATTTGCATATGTTAAATAGTCCTTGCATCCCAGGAATAAAACCCATGTAATCATGATGAATTACATCTTTGATATGCTGATGGATTTGGTTTGCTAGCATTTTGTTGAGGATATTTGCATCTATGTTCATCAGATATTGGCCTGTAGTTTGTTGTTGTTGTTTCCTTGCTAGATTTTAGTGTCAGGATGATACTGGTTTTGTAGAATGAGTTAGAGAGGAATTCCTTCTCCTCAATGTTTTAGAATGGTTGCAGTAAGATTGATACCATCTATTTTTTTGTATGCTTGGTAAAATTCAGCTGTGAATTCATCTAGTCCTGGGCTTCTCCTGCCTGATAAATATTTTTATTACAAATTCAATTTCATAATTAACTACTGGTTTATTCAGATTTTTTTTAAATTTATAGAGAAAAAATATTTATTTGGTTTATAGTTGTGCAGGCAGTAGAAGCATGGGACCAGCACCTGCTCAGGTTTGGGTGAGACCTCAGAAAGCATCCAATCACAGAGGAAGGCAAAGTGAGGGCCAGTGTATCACGTGTCAAGAGAGAAATGAATAGCAAGAAGGGGAACACGGCAGGCTGTTTTAAACAACCAGCTCTCATGTGACACAACAGAGCAAGGACTTGCTCATCACCAAGGGGATGGAGCTAAGCAAATTATGAAGAGTCCACCCCCATGATTCAACACCTTCCACTAGGCCCACCACCAACGTTTAAGATCACATTCAACAAGAGATTTGGAGGGTAAACACATCCAAACAATGTCATTTCACACCTATGCCCACCAAATCTCATGTCCTTCTCATATTGCACAATACAATTATCATCTCTCAGTAGTCCCCAAAAATCTCAAGCTGTTTCAGCATCAACTCAAAAGTCCGAAATCTCATCTGAACTTCAAGGTACGTTCCTCCATCTGTGAGCCTATAAGATCAAAGCCAAGTTATTTGCTTCCAATATTCAATGCAGTACAGGTGTTGGGTAAATATTCCAATTCCCAAATGGCGAAGTTGGGCAAAAGAAAGGGGCAACAGGCCTCAGGCAAATCTGAAACCCAGTAGGGCAAACATAAAACCTTCAAGCTCCAAAATAATTCTTGATTTCATGTCCCGCATCCAGGGCACACTTGTGCAAGGGGTGGGTTCCCAAGACCTTATGCAGCTCTGCCTCTGTGGCTTTGCAGTGTACAGTCACCATGGCTGCTGTCTTGGATCAGAGTTGAGTGCCTGTGGTATTTCTAGGCTCAGGATGAAAGCTTCCCGTGGCTCTACCATTCAGGGATCTCGAGGTGGCGGCCCCATTCCCACAGCTCCTGTAGGTAGTGCCCCAGTGGGGACTGTGTGGAGGCTTCAATCCCATATTTCCTGTTGGCACTGCCCTAGTGGACTTTTGGTTTCTTTCTGATTCAGTCTTGGAAGGTTGTGTGTTTCCAGGAATTTATCCATTTTCTCTAGGTTTTCTAGTTTATGCACACAAACATATTCTGAGGATCTTTTTTTATGTCAGTGGTATCCTTTGCAATGTCTCATTTGTAATTTTTTATTGTGCTTATTGGAATCTTCTTTTTTCTTGTATAATCTAACTAGCAATCTATCATTTTTATGTGTCCTTGCAAAGAACCAACTTTTTAATTTTGCTGATTCCTTGTATGGTTTTTTTGGTCCCAATTTCATTAACTTATTCTCTAACCTTTGTTATTTCCTTCTACTAGCTTTGGGTTTGGTTTGTTCTTTTCTAGTGTGTTTGGCTATTTTAGCTTGTTAATTTGAGATCTTTCTCTCTTTTTATGTAGGCATTTAGTGTTATAAACTCTCCTCTTAACATTGTTTTTTCTGTATCCCAGACGTTTTGGTATGTTATGTTTCTATTTTCATTTGTTTCAGGAATTTCTTTAAATTTCCGCCTTAATTCTGTTATTTACACAAAAGTCTTTCAGGAGCAGATTGTTTAGTTTCCATGTACCTCTGTGGTTCTGAGAGTTCTTGATATTGACTTCTAATTTTATTCCACAGTGGTCCGAGAAGACACTTAATATAGTTGTGATTTTTAAAAATTTATTGAGGCTTATTTTATGACTGAGCATGTGGTCAATTTTAGAGAATGTTCCATGTGCAAATGAGAAAAATGTACATTCTGTGGTTTCTGGGTGGAGTATTCTGTAGATATCTATTAGGTCTGTTTGGTCAAGAGCCCAGTTTGAGTCCACAGTTTCATTGTTAGTTTTCTGCCTAATAATCTGCCTAACTAATCTGCTTACTGCTGTCGGTGGGGTGTTGAAGTCCTCCATGATTATTGTACAGCTGTGTATCTCTTTTCTTAGGTCTAGTAATATTTATTCTAAAAATCTGGGTGCTCTAATGTTGGCTGCATATATATTTAAGACAGTTAAGTCTTCTCGTTGAATTGAACACTCCATCATTATATAATGTCATTCTTTGTATTTCTTTTTACTGTTGTTAGTTTAATGTCTGTTTTATCTGATACAAGAATAGCAATACCTCTCCTTTTTTGTTTTTCATTTATGTGATGAATATTTTTCCATCCATTTACTTTGAGCCTGTTGGTATCATTACACATGAGATGGGTCTCTCAAAGGCAGCAGAAGTGTCTTCTTTTTTTTATCCAGTTTGCCACTTTGTGTCTATTCAGTGGAGCATTTCAGCCATTTACAATCAAGCTTAATATTGATGTGTTAGGTTTTCTTCCTTTTATAGTGTTAGCTAGTTACCTTGTAGTCTCAATTGTTTAATTGCTTTATAGGTTCTGTACATTTTGTATTCATGTATGCTTTTATGGTAGCAAGTATCATTCTTTTATTTTCACGAGCCAAACTCCTTTAAACATTTCTTTTAGAGTCAGTCTGGAGGTAACGACTTCCCTTAGCATTTTCTTGTCTGGAAATACCTTATTTTCCTTTCTTTATGAAGCTCAGTCTGGCAGGTTATGAAATTCTTGCACTGGCTGGGTGCAGTGGCTCGCACCTGTAATCCTAGCACTTTGGGAGGCCAAGGCAGGCAGATCACCTGAGGTCAGCAGTTCAAGACCAGCCTGGCCAACATGAAGAAACTCCCTATTAAAAATACCAAAATTTGCCAAGTGTGGTGGTGCACACCTGCAATCCCAGCTACTGGTGAGGCTGAGGCAGGAGAATTGCTTGAATCCAGGAAGCAGAGGTTGCAGTGAGCTGACATCACACCACTGCACTCCAGCCTGGGTGGCAAAGTGAGACTCTGTCTCCAAAAAAAAAAAATTATTGGATGGCATTTTTTTTTCTTTAAGAAGACTAACGCTAGGCCCCAATCTTTTCTAGGTTGCAGGGTTTCTGCTGATAAGTCAGTTGTTAATCTAATTTACTTTATAGGTAATTTGGCCCTTTGTTTGAGCCCATCATCTGGGAGGTGAGTAACGCCTCTGCCCGGCCACCTTGTCTGGGAAGTGGGGAGCCCCTCTGCCCAGCCACCCCATCTGGGAGGTGAGGAGTGCCTCTGCCTGGCCACCCAATGTCTGGGAGGTGAGGAGTGCCTCTTCCCGGCTGCCCCATCTGGGAGGTGAGGAGCGCCTCTGCCCGGCCACCCCCTCTGGGAAGTGAGGAGCGCCTCTGCCCGGCAGCCCTGTCTGGGAAGTGAGGAGCGCCACTGCCTGGCTGCCCCGTCTGGGTTGTGAGGAGCACCTCTGCCTGACCGCCACCCCATCTGGGAAGTGGGGAGCGCCTTTGCCCAGCTGCCCCGTCTGGGAAGTGAGGAGCACCTTTCTCCTGCTGCCCATCATCTGGGAGGTGAGGAGCGCCTCTGCATGGATGACACACCATCTGGGAAGTGAGGAGCGCCTCTGCCCAGCCGCCCCATCTGGGAAGTGAGGAGTGCTTCTGCCTGGCCGCCCATTGTCTGGGAGGTGAGGAGCGCCTCTGCCCGGCCACCCTGTCTGGGTTGTGAGGAGCGCCTCTGCCCAGCTCCCACCCTGTCTGGGAAGTGGGGAGCGCCTCTTCCCGGTCGCCCCATCTGGGAGGTGAGGAGTGCCTCCCTCCAGCTGCCCATCATCTGGTAGGTGAGGAGTGCCTCTGAATGGACGACACACAATCTGGGAACTGAGGAGCGCCTCTGCCTGGCCGCGCCATCTGGGAAGTGAAGAGCGCCTCTGCCCGGCCGCCCCATCTGGGAAGTGAGGAGCGCCTCTGCCTGGCTGCCCATCATCTGGGAGGTGAGGAGCACCTCTCCCCAGCCACCCATTGTCTGGGAGGTGAGGAGTTCCTCTGGCTGGCCGCCCGGTCTGGCAGTTGAGCGCCTCTGCCCGGCCACCCCCTCTGGGAAGTGAAGAGCGCCTCTGCCCAGCCTCCCCATCTGGGAGGTGAGGAGCGCCTCTGCCCGGCTGCCCCATCTGGGAGGTGAGGAGCGCCTCTGCCTGACCTCCACCCCATCTGGGAATGGGGAGTGGCATTTCTCGGCCGCCCCATCTGGGAAGTGAGGAGCACCTTTCTCTGGCTGCCAATCATCTGGGAGGTGAGAAGCGCCTCTTCACGGATGACACACCATCTGGGAAGTGAGGAGCGCCTCTGCCTGGCTGCCCCATCTGGGAAGTGAGGAGCACCTCTTCCTGGTCTCCCCGTCTGGGAGGTGAGGAGCGCCGCTGCCCGGCCACCCCATCTAGGAGGTGAGGAGCGCCTCTGCCCAGCCACCCCATGTGGGAGGCGAGGAGCGCCTCTGCCTGGCCGCCCAGTCTGGGAGGTGAGGAGCGCCTTTGCCCAGCTGCCCATCATCTGGGAGGTGAGGAGCGCCTCTGCCAGCCCGCCCCATCTGGGAGGTGAGGAGCGCCTCTTCCTGGTCTCCCCGTCTGGGAGGTGAGGAGCGCCTCTGCCCGGCCACCCCATCTAGGAGGTGAGGAGCGCCTCTGCCCGGCCACCCCATGTGGGAGGCGAGGAGCACCTCTGCCTGGCCGCCCAGTCTGGGAGGTGAGGAGCGCCTTTGCCCAGCTGCCCATCATCTGGGAGGTGAGGAGTTCCTCTGCCAGGCCGCCTCATCTGGGAGGTGAGGAGCGCCTCTGCCCAGCCGCCCCGTCTGGGAAGTGGGGAGCACCTCTGCCTGGCCGTGATGTCTGGGAGGTGAGGAGTGCCTCTGCCTGGCCACCCCGTCTGGGAAATGAGGAGCACCTCTGCCTGGCTGCCCATTGTCTGGGAGGTGAGGAGCCCCTCTGCCTGGCTGCCCCCCCTGGGAGGTGAGGAGCACCTCTGCCCAGCCGCCCCGTCTGGGAGGTGAGGAGTGCCTCTGCCCGGCCACCCATCGTCTGGGATGTGAGGAGTGCCTCTGCCTGGCTGCCCTTCGTCTGGTAGGTGAGGAGTGCCTCTTCCCAGCCGCCCCATCTGGGAAATGAGGAGCACCTCTTGCCTGGTTGCCCCATCTGGGAAGTGAGGAGCGCCTCTGCCCAGCTGCCCCATCTGGGAAGTGAGGAGCACCTCTGCCCAGCCGCCCCATCTGGGAAGTGAGGAGTGCCTCTGCCTGGCTGCCCATTGTCTGGGAGGTGAGGAGTGCCTCTGCCCGGCCACCCTGTCTGGGTTGTGAGGAGCGCCTCTGCCCAGCTCCCACCCTGTCTGGGAAGTGGGGAGCGCCTCTTCCCGGTCGCCCCATCTGGGAGGTGAGGAGTGCCTCCCTCCAGCTGCCCATCATCTGGTAGGTGAGGAGTGCCTCTGAATGGACGACACACAATCTGGGAACTGAGGAGCGCCTCTGCCTGGCCGCGCCATCTGGGAAGTGAAGAGCGCCTCTGCCCGGCCGCCCCATCTGGGAAGTGAGGAGCGCCTCTGCCTGGCTGCCCATCATCTGGGAGGTGAGGAGCACCTCTCCCCAGCCGCCCATTGTCTGGGAGGTGAGGAGTTCCTCTGGCTGGCCGCCCGGTCTGGCAGTTGAGCGCCTCTGCCCGGCCACCCCCTCTGGGAAGTGAAGAGCGCCTCTGCCCAGCCTCCCCATCTGGGAGGTGAGGAGCGCCTCTGCCCGGCTGCCCCATCTGGGAGGTGAGGAGCGCCTCTGCCTGACCTCCACCCCATCTGGGAATGGGGAGTGGCATTTCTCGGCCGCCCCATCTGGGAAGTGAGGAGCACCTTTCTCTGGCTGCCAATCATCTGGGAGGTGAGAAGCGCCTCTTCACGGATGACACACCATCTGGGAAGTGAGGAGCGCCTCTGCCTGGCTGCCCCATCTGGGAAGTGAGGAGCACCTCTTCCTGGTCTCCCCGTCTGGGAGGTGAGGAGCGCCGCTGCCCGGCCACCCCATCTAGGAGGTGAGGAGCGCCTCTGCCCAGCCACCCCATGTGGGAGGCGAGGAGCGCCTCTGCCTGGCCGCCCAGTCTGGGAGGTGAGGAGCGCCTTTGCCCAGCTGCCCATCATCTGGGAGGTGAGGAGCGCCTCTGCCAGCCCGCCCCATCTGGGAGGTGAGGAGCGCCTCTTCCTGGTCTCCCCGTCTGGGAGGTGAGGAGCGCCTCTGCCCAGCCACCCCATCTAGGAGGTGAGGAGTGCCTCTGCCCGGCCACCCCATGTGGGAGGCGAGGAGCACCTCTGCCTGGCCGCCCAGTCTGGGAGGTGAGGAGCGCCTTTGCCCAGCTGCCCATCATCTGGGAGGTGAGGAGTTCCTCTGCCAGGCCGCCTCATCTGGGAGGTGAGGAGCGCCTCTGCCCAGCCGCCCCGTCTGGGAAGTGGGGAGCACCTCTGCCTGGCCGTGATGTCTGGGAGGTGAGGAGTGCCTCTGCCTGGCCACCCCGTCTGGGAAATGAGGAGCACCTCTGCCTGGCTGCCCATTGTCTGGGAGGTGAGGAGCCCCTCTGCCTGGCTGCCCCCCCTGGGAGGTGAGGAGCACCTCTGCCCAGCCGCCCCGTTTGGGAGGTGAGGAGTGCCTCTGCCCGGCCACCCATCGTTTGGGATGTGAGGAGTGCCTCTGCCTGGCTGCCCTTCGTCTGGTAGGTGAGGAGTGCCTCTTCCCAGCCGCCCCATCTGGGAAATGAGGAGCACCTCTTGCCTGGTTGCCCCATCTGGGAAGTGAGGAGCGCCTCTGCCCAGCTGCCCCATCTGGGAAGTGAGGAGCACCTCTGCCCAGCCGCCCCATCTGGGAAGTGAGGAGTGCCTCTGCCTGGCTGCCCATTGTCTGGGAGGTGAGGAGTGCCTCTGCCCGGCCACCCTGTCTGGGTTGTGAGGAGCGCCTCTGCCCAGCTCCCACCCTGTCTGGGAAGTGGGGAGCGCCTCTTCCCAGTCGCCCCATCTGGGAGGTGAGGAGTGCCTCCCTCCAGCTGCCCATCATCTGGTAGGTGAGGAGTGCCTCTGAATGGACGACACACAATCTGGGAACTGAGGAGCGCCTCTGCCTGGCCGCGCCATCTGGGAAGTGAAGAGCGCCTCTGCCCGGCCGCCCCATCTGGGAAGTGAGGAGCGCCTCTGCCTGGCTGCCCATCATCTGGGAGGTGAGGAGCACCTCTCCCCAGCCGCCCATTGTCTGGGAGGTGAGGAGTTCCTCTGGCCGGCCGCCCGGTCTGGCAGTTGAGGAGCGCCTCTGCCCGGCCACCCCCTCTGGGAAGTGAAGAGCGCCTCTGCCCAGCCTCCCCATCTGGGAGGTGAGGAGCGCCTCTGCCCGGCTGCCCCATCTGGGAGGTGAGGAGCGCCTCTGCCTGACCTCCACCCCATCTGGGAATGGGGAGTGGCATTTCTCGGCCGCCCCATCTGGGAAGTGAGGAGCACCTTTCTCTGGCTGCCAATCATCTGGGAGGTGAGAAGCGCCTCTTCACGGATGACACACCATCTGGGAAGTGAGGAGCGCCTCTGCCTGGCCGTCCCATCTGGGAAGTGAGGAGCACCTCTTCCTGGTCTCCCCGTCTGGGAGGTGAGGAGCGCCTCTGCCCGGCCACCCCATCTAGGAGGTGAGGAGCGCCTCTGCCCGGCCACCCCATGTGGGAGGCGAGGAGCACCTCTGCCTGGCCGCCCAGTCTGGGAGGTGAGGAGCGCCTTTGCCCAGCTGCCCATCATCTGGGAGGTGAGGAGCGCCTCTGCCAGGCCGCCTCATCTGGGAGGTGAGGAGCGCCTCTGCCCAGCCGCCCCGTCTGGGAAGTGGGGAGCACCTCTGCCTGGCCGCGACGTCTGGGAGGTGAGGAGTGCCTCTGCCTGGCCACCCCGTCTGGGAAATGAGGAGCACCTCTGCCTGGCTGCCCATTGTCTGGGAGGTGAGGAGCCCCTCTGCCTGGCTGCCCCCCTTGGTAGGTGAGGAGCACCTCTGCCCAGCCGCCCCGTCTGGGAGGTGAGGAGTGCCTCTGCCCGGCCGCCCATCGTCTGGGATGTGAGGAGTGCCTCTGCCTGGCTGCCCTTCATCTGGTAGGTGAGGAGTGCCTCTTCCCAGCCGCCCCATCTGGGAAATGAGGAGCACCTCTTGCCTGGTTGCCCCATCTGGGAAGTGAGGAGCGCCTCTGCCCAGCCGCCCCATCTGGGAAGTAAGGAGCACCTCTGCCTGGCCGTTGTGCAATCTTCCAAGTGTGAAGTGACAGCCTTTCTGCAGGTGTACCCAACAGCTTCGAAGAGACAGCCACCATCGGGAACGGACCATGATGATGATGGCAGTTTTGTCAAAAAGAAAAGAGGGAAATGTGGGGAAAAGGAAGAGAGATCAGATTGTTACTGTGTCTGTGTAGAAAGAAGTAGACATAGGAGACTCCATTTTCTTCTGTACTAAGAGAAATTCTTCTGCCTTGGGATGCTGTTAATCTATAACCTTACCCCCAACCCCGTGCTCTCTGAAACATGTGCTGTGTCAACTCAGGGTTAAATGGATTAAGGGCGGTGCAAGATGGGCTTTGTTAAACAGATGCTTGAAGGCAGCATGCTCATTAAGAGTCATCACCACTCCCTAATCTCAAGTACCCAGGGACACAAACACTATGGAAGGCTGCAGGGACCTCTGCCTAGGAAAACCAGAGACCTTTGTTCACGTGTTTATCTGCTGACCTTCTCTCCACTATTATCCTATGACCCTGCCACATCCCCCTCTCCAAGAAACACCCAAGAATGATCAATAAATAATAATAAAAAAAGCATAGTGCATCACCCCAAGGGTAGAGCGTGTGTGTGTGTGTGTGTGTGTGTGTGTGTGTGTGTGTGTGTGTGTGTTCGTGGATAGTTTCTCCTAGCTAACCATAAGACAGGAACTTGGAGTCTTGGGACAGGAAGAGAGAAAAGAGGGGAGAAAGTATCCTGAACCAAGTATAGAGTTGTCAATCTCTTAACTAGAAGGTTCAATAGTTGGGATTTATTTCCACAAAACAAGGAAATTTGTGTTTTTATAATTATAAAAAAGTGTTCCTGTCTGTCTAGGCTTGTACCTAAATGGGAGACTATAAACTCTATTGTCCAGTATTTTACTGAAAACTATGTATGACACTCTGCAGTCCATTGTGACATTCCTACAGCCAAGAAAAATAACTGAAAACACTGAACGTGTCAGGGATTCATGATAAGGATTCATTTCTGGAGCAAAGACTGGTCTTGTGAAGAAAGGACCTGTCCCCTTCTCATGCATGGGATTCTACCCCCATCCCACACACCAGAAGCACTGCCAGGACATCTCTGCACTATGCTGTGAGGTGGGTGGTTTAGGGTACCATTGTTATATGACTTTTATCATTTTAGTTCTGTACATCCTATCTTGGGAAGTAAATTTTTGGTTATTTCTTTTCATTTTACCTTTTCTTCTTGTTTAACTTTAAAATGGAAAAAGAAGCAAATGTTCACAATAAACTTTACTGTTTAATCTGAAAAAAAAAAGAAAAACATTGCAGAATGATAGCCACAGTTTTAAAAATAAGCACATTATAAAGATAATAAAATTGTAATAAAACTAATTATAATGAACATATAAAAGAAGTCTTCCTGTGGATATTAGTATCATAAAACAATTTATATTATTTAACCAGTTATAGACTCACTGTTGGCATGTTACATTTAACACACACTTGACTTTTGATTTGAAATCATTTCCTCATTAAATCCTGTATCTCACCTTTGAGATTAATGTGATAATGTGATGTAGCCTCTATTGATGCCTCAGAGAGTGAGAATGTGATGTAACCTTTAGTGAAGCCTCACACTGTTTATTAAGATCCGCCAATTTTTTTTGAAGTTGTCTCACAATGACCTGAAAAGACATGTTTTTGATTTTGTGAATCATCTTATCAAATTAACAATATTTACTTTCAAAAAGATCCCCAAATATATTGATTCAGTTTATTTTCTTCATTTGTGCACACTGCTGCTTGTTAGTGAATTTACTTAAGGACACAAGAAGGTGTAATCTTTCTGCCAAATTGGTACTGTCTTACTAGACACAAGATTCATCTCACTGGTAATTTCTTCCCTTAATGAATCTGTAATTCTTCACAACTTACTGAAGTCTCAAAAAAAAAAAAAAGGCAGGACTAGTGGTGGTAAATTCTAAACAGTGGAATTCTTTCCTTCTTCTGTATTAGAAGCACAAATCAACATCAAAGTTCCTCACATATTCAATCACCTGCTGAAATTTTTCCAATAGATTTTTATCTCAGAATAAAAGTAATTTTATTTCAAACTTTACAGGCCCTTGGTAACCTGGTCTCCACATCCCTCCTGACCTCAGCTCCTATGTTTCTCTCCTCTACTCACTTCTTTTGTACTATACATGAACCTTGCCACCCCTTATGAATTGAAAAATGGGGATCCAATGCAAAGCTAATAAATCACAGATAGCTACAATCATCTTTCTGTGGGACAAAGTTCTATCCACATGATAGTTTTTGAGCCTTGAAATAGAAATTATGAGCAAATGATTTGTAACAATATTCAAAATAAATTATGAATACCAGTGGGGTGATTAAATCAAATTTGATATTGCTAAAATCCACTACATTTGTCCTAAGGTATTATTTAACAAAACACAGATGCCTTTAAAAAATTGAGAGGTTTTAACAATACATAATTTCAGATTCAAATATGTTCAGATTAAGTCAAATTGACATAAATGAAAATAAAATTCTACCAAATAAAATATATAAAAAGCTACTTAAAAAGTGTTATTACAAGATGCAGAAATGTACACTTCAAAATATACTTCAAATACACTTCTGTTCCTCTGGAAAATTTAGAATTAACTGTCAATGTAAATTGCTGAACTGAATCTTAATTTCAAAATACTAATTGCTGATATGGGCATTCCCATTTTTCTGCTTCATTGTAGTCAAAAAATGTGGCCACAAAGAGACATTAAAACCTTTATTTCAGCAGTATAAGCCAATGTCATTAATGTTAATCTATTAAAAATCTTTAACTTAAACTCTTATAATTTCATCAGTGACACAATACCTTTACTCAAAGTAAAACGTCTCTTAGCTTTCACTTTCATTTGGTGGAAATGAGGCATGTTTCTAAGCTGATATAGTAAGTACATTTATCATCTATTTATATATATATATATTCAACTAGATTCAGCATTTAGCCAAGGCCACTTTCTTTCAGGAAGTTTGAAAAGTATTTATATTTTTTGATACTTACTTCTCTTTCTGCTTTCTCTTTTTCATATTGATCTATACGTTCTTTTAAATGGTTACCATAATTGAATACCTCCTCATTTTTCTCGTTTAGATGACGTTGCATTTTCATCTCAGGAAACTGAATATTAATTGTTACCTTGCTTTTGTTAACTTTCTTATGTGCATAAACTAATTGCTGTCGAAGCCACCTATTTTTGCTTTCTAGTTGAAATAATTTCTGCTCCAGAGACTCCTGCTGTTCAGTGTGTTTGTCCACATTATCTTGTTCATTTTGATACATGTGTTCAGCTTTCTTCATTTGACACTGTGTTTCACATCGGTCTCTTTGTGCATGTTCTGAAACCAATGCATTTTCTCTTAGATCATCTCCTGCATAATTGAGATTAATTTTTGGGCTTTTGGATTTCCTTTGAGCTTCATAAAGTGGTTGATGGAGCACCTCATTGTTATATATTGTATTACTCACATCAACATTCATTATTCCTTGCAAAGGAGCATCTCCTGCACTGTGGAAAGCAAGTTCTTGGTTTTTTCTTGATGTGACACTTTGATCATGGTCTTGTAAAGCAGAAGCCAGTCTAGGATGGTGTGATTCAATTTCTGTCTCCAGTATTTCTTTGTCTTGTTTTTCCTTCAATTTAGAAGTCAGCATCGTGTTCTCTGCCGTCAGAACTTTAAGCTGCTCTCTATACTGAGATGCCCTTTTTGTTACTGTTTTCTGTTTCAGTTTTAGGGTCATTTGAAGTTCAGCATTCTTTTCTTGTAAAATCTTAATGTCCTCAAAGTATTTATTTTCCTTCACCTGGTGTTGATGTTTCAGTGTGGCTACTTCCAGTTTTAGCATGGCAATTTCCTTTTTCAACATGCAATTTTCATGAAAGAGATCATTTTCACTTTCATGAGTGTGAGAAACCTAAATAAAACAAAATAAAAATTTAACTAGCACTCAATAAAATGGCATATCATAGTTCCTCTGAAATTAAAGAACAACTTGTACGTTTATACAATGAAAGGGTTTTTATAAGTAGGTATCAGTTGAAGAACCATTGAATCAAAACTTCAAATACTATAGAGCATAAATTCCCCAAAGTTCAAACATTTATTTGGAGACAACGAATTCATGAAAGTAAAAGAGAAACGACTAGAGAATTTTTAAGAGCCTCAGAATTGAAAAAAAAAAAAAACTTTCCCTGAATTACAACAAGCTCAAAAGCATAAAATAAAAGATTAATCAATTTGACTACATACAAAAATTGGGTTTACACTCTGATGTCTAACCTATACAACATCCCATACTAAGAGCCTTAGTGCTACATATATTTAGACAGATAAAATTTCTGGAAGCTCTTTCAGTTCCTTTTTCCTGAGAATATTCTCTAGATATTCTGTGTTTCTAAAAAATATAGTTAATTGTAAGAATTATATTTATGAATGTTTGATAAGTTGAGACATTGTAACAAGCACTTTTAGTTATCACAATTCTGAAAGGAAAAGATTAAAAATATAATCAAGTTGTAGGATTTTCTCCAAGTCTTCTGAGTCTACATCCAGGACTTCTCCACCAAATCTCAGTTAATTCTACTGGGTAAATACGTAAATATAAAAGAAGTCTTCTATTTCAAAACAAAAGTGGTAAAGAAGATAAAATCTAGAGAGCCCTACTTAGAAAACCATGAGCTTATTTACTACGACACTAACTTTTGCTTCCTCTTGATAATGTTTGAGTCAGTATTAAATGTTAACTAGGAAAAATACACTAATCTATGTTGCTAGGAATAAAATACTTACCAATAAATTATCACTAAGTATATGGTAGGGATTATCATTATTTTCAAAAGCTCTTTGTACTGAAATAAGATACTATTTGCATGCCATAATTTATAATAAATACCTGTAGCTACAAAAGTCATAGTTAATTTTAAGACAATACTTTTCTTTGATTTAGACCTGAATAACACATACTAAATCAAAGGGATGTTAAAAGTAATACTGATGAAATAAAGTCAGAAATATAAAATTTTTGCCAGAGATTGATTTACCTGATTCAAATTACTTGTTACACTTTTCAATTCTATATCTTGTATTCTGAGAGTCTGTTCAAGTTGTTGTTTCACTTCTAACTTTTTCCTAAGTTGCTCTTCGGGTCTAATTTTTTCTTTTAATATATCGACATTTCTTCTCTTCTCTTCTTCTTGATTTAAAGTCAATCTGCCATTAAACATACTTATCTTAAAATTCATTTTGTTAGAAAATAGAATTCACTTTGAGATCTACTTCTTCCTATACTGGTTTATTATTCCAATAAAATTCCTATATTCCTGAATTTTTTTTTTCTTTCTAGTTCTCTGGTATTCATTACTCCGTAACCTCTTCCAAATGACATACATACTTGAAAAATAGTGAGAAAAAACTTCTTCTAGTTAGAAAGTTTCTGTTACTAGTAACTTTGACAACTGTTATGGAAAAGAATATTGGAAGCTATCTAGTAAATTTATAAGTTGAAAATTATTTTTTAAAAATATCACACAGTCAAAATTAGTCCTCAGTGAGGACAGATCATTTAGAGTTAACTGATTAAAGTGACATTACTTTTTATAAAAAAAGTTTACAGATTTATTAGACATAAATATTTCTACTTATAAAATATGGCAAATATCCCTAAAAATAATTTGAATATTATGATCTCAGACTAGATTAAAGAGTCTAATATGTGTCATCCCATATGCCTTTTGTTTCTTTTTTGAGTAAGAGTTAAACATATCTTGTTGAGTATTATATATTTTTCAACAAATTTTAAATCTCCTTTAGAACAAGAAAAAGTATAAATATTTAATTAAAGACTAAAAATAATATGTATTTTTAACCTAGAACTCTGAATTAATTTTATTTATGTAGGAGAGCGAGAGATGTTGAATAAACTAATCATAAATTATATTTTCTTTATATTCCATGCACATTAAGATTAAAAGTGTATAGTTAAAGGAAATTGATTCTTGGAGAGAGAAGAATGGCCGTTTCACACTGTCTTTGTTGAACTGTAAATGAATATAAATTTTCTTGAGAACAATTTAGAAGTAATGAACAAAGAACTTTTTAAAAATTCCTATAATTTAACTAAATATTTCTATATTGAAGAATTTATTCCAAGTCAATAATTAGAAAGGTAGAAAAAGATTTACATGCAGTTATGTCTTGTAGCATTTATAATACAAAAAATTAAAAATCAAAAAAATTAATTTGCTAAGTAATGGTATTTCCAAATAATGGCCTTCTATATAGCCATTAAAATTGTGATTTAAATAAATATGCATTAATTATCAGTGGAAGTATTCACATTTAAGAACTTTTATTATTTAAAAGAATTTGACACTCTACAAGACAGATTTTTTTCTCCAGTTAAATCTCAGAAGGTAAGTCAGCTTTTACAAAAAGTATCCTACATACTTTTAGTATAAATAGTTGAAATATTTATTTAAAACTAGGATGTCATACCTCACACTGCAGAGCTCTTGTTCCCATTTAGCTTTTTGGTTCTCTAACTGTGATTTTATTTCTTTCGCTTCTGACAGTTCCTTTTGTAGTACACAAAACTTATTTTTCGTTTGTTCCATTTTTGCTGTAATTTGTTCACAGTTATCTTTTTTAAGTTCCCTTCCTCTTTCACAAGAAGGAAGTGCATCCAAGATTTTTGATAGGGTAGTTGAATCTGTCTCAAGGAGGAGATAGAAATAAAATATATTAGTACTTTTGGGATATAAAGGGCTGCATATTTTAACAATCACTAACTCATACACTCAACAAATATATATTGATTGCCTACCATGTGGAAGGCATTATACTAAGCTCTGCAGATTAAACAGAAAAAAAAAAACTCTGCTCTTGTTTAGCTTAAAATATACTGAAAAGCAAAGCCCCAGAAAAGTTACAATTATAAATTCAGATAGATACTGTAAGAAAATAGATTGCTAAGAATAGGATCTGTACTAGGCCCACGGAAAATTCCCCCGAGGAATGTATGGCTACACTGAGGAACAAAGATTGAAAAGGAAGCAGTTGAGCAAGGGGGGAAGAAAAGCATTTTAGCCAGTGTGTGGCATGTGCTGAAGCTCTAGTGTAGTCTGCCTCCAGCCAAGAGAGAACAACAGGTATTGATTTTTCTTCTTAGCTAAAATAACTAAAAATAAAACACACAAAATACACTAAACAATTTTTTAGACAGTGGACATTAGGCAAAGAAGATGATAGTCCCTGAAAAACAGAAAAAAAAAGTGGAAAGCAAACCTTATGAATGTTTCAGCTTCTTGCCTTGACAGAAATTCCAAGACCTGACACAGGAAACAAAAACTGAGGTGGAACCTACCAGACTCTCTTGGTTACAGTGATAAATCTTAGAGTCTGGTAAAACCAAAGGAGACAGACAATATAGAACAGAACACTGAAGAGGAGACAGAGATACAGAAGCAAAAGCAAGAAACCCCTGGAAATTGCCTCCCAGTATTTAGCAAAATAATGAAGATTGCATGTAAGCCAGAAAACTACCTAAGACCAAGCCAGGTCAGGGCGGAACTTATAAAATTAGAGAAAATCACACCTGGTGCTCACATAGTGCCAAGAAGAGTGTCTATTTTTATAGATTTGCCTGGGAAGACTCAGACTTCACAGGAAAATGAATAGTCTGAAAGGCCTTGCCTCAGGTGTGGGGAGTCAGCTCATAAAAAGCAAAAATGAAAAGGATCAAGCTGTTTATAAGTAACTCAACTCTATTCTACAATAAAAATCAAGAAGATAAGTAAAGCAATAGAAGATACTTTTAAAAACTAAATTGCACTTCTAGAGATACAAGTTACAATGCTGCAGATGAAAGCTACACTGAGTAGATATGAGCATAGATTGATTTGCCATCATCTATGCAAGAAAAGATTCACAAATTTGAGATACTAGAGAACTATGAGCAAACTCCCAGCAGGTAATATGTAAGTCCACAAAGAGGTAGAAGGAGAGACAGAAAAAACATCTGAAGAAAAATTGGCTAAATATATTCTAAACTTAACAAATGCTACAATCCCACAGATCCAGGCTGGTATCTGGCTGGAAGTGAAGAAATGAAAATATATGATTGGAATTTCTTATACCATCTATGATATGATATAATATTACTTGAAGGTGAGTTGTGATGAGGTAAATCCATACACTATAAATCCTAAAACAACCACTAAGACAGCAAAGCAAAGAGTTATACCTAATAGCCAAATAAACTTATACCACAAAAAGATATGACTAAATCATGAAGAAATATACAACCAGATCAATAACTAAAAAACATTATACATATATATATATATATATATATATATATATATATATATATATAAAACTAAATCATAAAAATTACTAAACTAGTCTGAAGGAAGCAATAAAAGAACAAAACAGAGCAAAGAAGATCTGGGACTAACAGAAATCAAACAGCATGGTGACAGACAACTTTTATCACATCAATAATTACATTATAAATTAAACTGGTCTAAAAACCTCTGCTCAAAGGCAGATTGTCAGAACGGATATACAAGTGAGATCTACCTGTATAACACCTATAAGAAATAAACTTTAAATATAAAGACAAAAATTGGTTAAAGATGAAACAAGATATACCACACTAACACTTGAAAAAAGAAGGCTGAGGAAGAGTGGTTGTATTAATACCAAAGTACATTTCACAGCAAAAACATTACCAGCAATAAACAAGGTGATTTTATAGTGACAAAGGGTTCACTTAATCAAGAAAACATAACAGTCCTAAATATTTATGTAGATAATAACATAAATGCTTCAAAATACATGATACAAAAATAGATAGAACTGCAAAAGAAATGGACAAATGCCTAAGTATAGTCTAAAATTTCTAAACCCCTTGCTCAAGTGGTAGAATAAGGAGGCAGAAAATCAGCAAGAATATGGTAGACTTAACACCATTCTTCAGAAGTACTCAAGGACTATATTCTAGATTATATCTTAGTAAAAGGATTAAGAAGGATTTAAGTCATACAAAACATGTTACCTGACCCAAAAGCAATCAAATTAAAAATCAATAATAAAAATGTACCTGAAACAACACAACTATTGGAAATTAAGTAACATAACATCCAAATAACCCTGGGTTGGTTCCAAAAATAGTAAAAAGAAAAATTAGAAAGTATTTTGAACTAACTTCAAATGAAAACACAGCACATTAGATATTGTAAAATGCATCTACAACAGCACTTAAATAAAGCTTTTCAGCATTGAATGTCTACATTAGAAGACTCTCAAGTAAATAACTTCGACTTTTACCTGAAGAAGCTAAAAAAAAAAAAAAATAAGAAAGTAAATCCAATGGAAGCAGAGGAAAGGATAAATATTCGTATTGGTTTGAATGTCTTTGTCCTTGCAATTTTCATATGCCAAAATCAAATCACAGAGGTGACGTTATTAGGAGGTAGGAGTTTTTGGATGTAATTAGGTCATGAGGGCCAACCCTTCATAAATGGATTAATGCTCTGACAGAAATAACCCCAGAGAGCCTCTTTACCCTTTCTGCCATGTGAGGGCACAGGGAAAAAGAATGCATCAATGAATCATGAAGTGGTACCTCTTCAGACATCAAATCTGATGATAACTTGATCTTGAACTGTGCAGCTTCCAAAATTGTGAGAATTCAATTTATGTTGTTGATAAGCTCCCAACTATAGATTTTTTAAATACTAGGCAAAGAGAACTAAAACATCAGAGATGGAACTAATAAAACACAAAAATGATGGAAGAGTTGAAAAATACCAAACACTTTGAGAGGATCAATAAAAGCAAAAGTCTATCTAGCCAAACTAGCTCTTGAAAAGAGAAAGCTACAATTACTAACTTTGGAAATGAGTTAATGTGACATTATTTTAGATTCTACAGATACTTAAAAATACAAGGTAATATTATAAAATTTATGTGAATAAACATGACAACTTAGACAAAATGGACAAATTCATTGAAATGTGAAAATTACCCTCTGATCTTTGACAAAACTGGAAAAAAAGCAATGTGAAAAGAATTCCCTATTTAATAAATGATGTTGGGAAAACTGGCTGGCCATATGCAGAAAACTGAAAGTTGACCACTTCCTTACACCTTATACAAAAATTAACTCAAGATGGATTAAAGACTTAAATGTTAGACCTAAAACCATAAAAAGCCTAGAAGAAATCCTAGGCAATACCATTCAGGACATAGGCATGGGCAAATACTTCAGAACTAAAACATCAAAAGCCATGGCAACAGAAGCTAAAATTGACAAATGGGACCTAATTAAACTAAAGAGCTTCAGCACAGCAAAAGAAACTACCATCAGAGTGAACAAAATGAACAGGCAACCTACAGAATGGGAGAAAATTTCTGCAATCTATCCATCTGACAAAGGGCTAAATCCAGAATGTACAAGAACTTAAACAAGTTTTAAAAAAAAATCAAACAACCCCATCAAAAAGTGGGTGAAGGATATGAACAGACACTTCTGAAAAGAAGACATTTATGCAGCCAACAGACACGTGAAAAAAATGCTCATCATCACTGGCCATCAGAGAAATGCAAATCAAAACCACAATGAGATACCATCTCACACCAGTTAGAATGGCGATCATTAAAAAGTCAGGAAACAACAGGTGCTGGAGAGGCTGTGGAGAAATAGGAAAACTTTTACACTGTTGGTGGGAGTGTAAACTCGCTCAACCATTGTGGAAGACAGTGTGGCAATTCTTCAAGGATCTGGAACTAGAAATACCATTTGATCCAGCGATCCCATTACTGGATATATACCCTAAGGATTATAAATCATGCTACTATAAAGACACACGCACACATATGTTTATTGTGGCACTATTTACAATAGCAAAGGCTTGGAACCAACCCAAATGCCCATCAATGATAGACTGGATTAAGAAAATGTGTCATATATGTACCATGAAGTTCATATGTACTATGAAGTCTATACTGCACTGTTTCAGGGAAATAATGTGTTACAACAGCATAGCTTTAATGGTCCATAGGTCACAGTTTTCACTTTTATTAAAGTAGAAGATTGTACATAGTGATACTTGAAATATTTTAGTTTCAGTTTCTAATATATCAAAAATCAGTAGGTAAAAACCAACTTAAATGAAGACTGATATCTCATTTGTTTTTATTTTCATATATTTGTTTTTTGCATAAACAAATTTTAATTAGTTGTGGTGCAGTTATATAATGGAATTCTATAAAGAACCTAATATAAACAAAACCAAAGTTAATTCTACACATTATGGATGGATCTAACAATATAATGCTGATCAAACAAAGAATGTTACAGAAAATTACACAATGTACAATTATTTACATATTAGCAGTTGAAAACAAATTCTACATATTATCTATGACCGTGCACATATGTTGTATAATTTTTAAGCATGCATAGGAATAATATAAAAAACCAGTTTAGACAATTGTTTACCTCTAAACAATGAAAAGACACAAAGCCAAATGCTTCAGAATCACAGTTTTACCAAAATGATCATAAAGAAATGATTACTTCTCCCATTTATTATTATTATTATTTCTGTTTGTTTGTTTGTTTTTGAGACGGAGTCTCGCTCTGTCCCCTAGGCTGGAGTGCAGTGGCGCCATCTCGGCTCACTGCAAGCTCCGCCTCCAGGGTTCACGCCATTCTCCTGCCTCAGCCTCCCGAGTAGCTGGGACTTACTTCTCCCAGTTTTTAAAAATTAAGGGTACCACACACAAACACACATATACATGCACACAGGCACAAACGTGCACACCACACACACACACACACACACACACACACACACACACACAGAAAGTAAGCTAATCAGAACAACAGATTTCCTTAGGATGCTTCAAATGACTACAGTCCCATGAGGTAACCAATGTTAAAACACAATTGGCATGTCAAAATTGAAGCTTTCCCTGCAGTAAAGGGTAGAATTTGAATCAATTTTTGAACAGAAAAAAATATTAGAGTTTAAAAATACACCTTCTTGAATCTTTAAGTCATACAGACATTCCCAATACAAAACATTACAGTATGAGGACGTGAAAGTGGAAACACCTGAAATTAAAGCTACTTTTTAAAAAAACTAATTAAAATTCGTGTTCTTGTAAGTAATCAGTTTTTCAAATGTGGATACCACTATTGACATTATTAACTCAAATATTTCCATAATATTTGAAAAATAAACATTGGGGAGATGAGACTATTAATATGTCAACTATTGAAATATTCATTTTAATATAGTTGAACTGTAAAATTTACCTGCTCTCAATGTTTGTTTATTCTTCCATTCTAAGCCTTTATTTGGAACAGAGTTTTGCATTTCAGTGGCAGGCTAAACGGGTTTGGAAGAAAAATGATTAATAACGAATGTGTACTTCACAAAATACATAGTTAATAAATAATGCAAGATAAAATTATAAAACTCAATACCTCAAAGTGAGAAGGCTTTTCAGGAGACTCTAAAAAGCAAAAGAGATTTATTATCAGTCATAAGTAAATATGACAAAACCAGCCACAAATGAATCCAGTGATAGTATCTAAGTCCTTTTTCTCAGCTTTGAGAATGATTCCTTTAGGTTTAGGGGGTTTTCTTTC
This sequence comes from Homo sapiens, assembly GCF_000001405.40. Classification (NCBI taxonomy): domain Eukaryota; kingdom Metazoa; phylum Chordata; class Mammalia; order Primates; family Hominidae; genus Homo; species Homo sapiens. The sequence continues at coordinate 14,842,760 of NC_000018.10, read as the reverse complement.
GGTATGTTTCTTTAGGACAATCACATGACAGAAATACACTGAAGAAACTAGGAATCTAGGCTTCATCAAACATGCACTTAAGACTTCAAAAGTGAGAATGTGTTGTGCATGCAAAATGTGTTGATATTAATATGTATATGCTGAGTGATGAAAAGAGAAATGATCTTTGATCAGAGGAGCAAATTATGACCCAGAAAAAATAAATGTCAAAGCTGAATATAGAATCCTACGCCATATATTCAGTGAAATACACTGGAATAATTTATATCATTACATTAATCATGTTCTTTAATTTGTCCTACAATTGAGATGGTACACCGTTATGATGAGAGTTCAGCTGAATGCAGAACTGACATCTCATCACTGAACATGTTACAAATTGATCAGCTTGGATATTTACTTAATGGATAATACTAAATAAAATATTCATTGTTTCCCATATCCTTGCAGTGTAATCATATGCCTACATTGCTGTATCCTCTAGTTTATCCTCAGAAATTTTCTTGATTCACTCATGCAAAAAATACTATAAAACTCATTAAAAAATATTGCATAATGAGCTTTCAATATTGATATGTTTATTTGAAAATTTATGGCAACATACTTATCACATATAAATAACATTTTATATTTTTAAATCAGACAATATTTATTTTAAAAAACAATTTTAGAATTCAAGTAATAAATTCTGTAATTTTTTGTTTCTAAAAATTAGTTGGCTTTGTTTATTATGGTAAGTGTCTAATAGATTTTTATAGAACAACAATTTTACCAAAACAATTTGCTTCATTAAAAATAAAGCTAATGCTCTTAGATTCAAATATCTCTCATTTGAATAGCTAATATCAACAAAATATAAACATTTTATGCCTGATAGTAATAGAGAAAACTAATGAGTCACCATGGTTTACTCCAATTCTAGTAATCCTCCCGCTTCCGGTAGTCTCTGGAGTACCCACAATCTAATCTTCTGGAGTGCAAATATTGTAAATGCATCTGAAGTGAATTCACTCAAATTTCCTTTCAGAAACTCCAAAGTTGGCTGGCTATCTTCTTTCTTGCTGCATTTCATGCCTCACAATCCCTCTTCCTTAGCCAAAATAATGTCCACATCTGTGGTCTTGATTCTTCCCATTCAATATCTTTTAAAATCAATTTTCCTAACACTTTCTTTCTCTTTGATTAGGGTAGTATCTGACATCTGTAATTACTATTTCTTTACCTCTTTTTTCCCCTCTGGTCAGAAACATACTCAGAAATAAAAGCAATATAATGCTTTCTCTTGACCCTGTTATGTCTTGAACTTCTATCCAACTGCCCTTCTTCCAGATTTTTCCAAAGGAAAGGCTGTTCCCTTGCTACTTAAGAGTGAGGTCCAAGGACAACCAGCAACAGCATCACTTGAGAATTTATTAAAAATGCCAGAATCCCAAGTCTGCTGAGTCACAGCGTGCATTGTTAACAAGGTATTCAGCTGATTTTCTAAAGTGTGAAAACTTCTCGTCTATACTGAGTGTATATGACAAATTATATACACGCACAGCTGTGAAAATATGCTTATATTCACATACTGCAGATAAAACACAACTCTCCATGGTCAGGTGCTTCCATCCCTAATGCCTTCCCACCAGTGAGAAAGACAAGACTGTCAACATGTTTGCTGTAATTCTCTGCCAAATTTTGGTAATGGGAGGTCACTTTATATTCTTCCCAGCTTTCTAACCATGCTCTATCTTTCTCTAAAGAGTTCTTTTATTTTACCATTCTCCATTATGTAAACCTGCTTCTTGTTCCCTCATGTACTCCCTGTACTCTCTGTCTTCCTCAGTCTTCATTCCCTGTTTTACTCCTTTCCTCAGGTCTTAGAGTATGTTGAATTTAAACTAATAATTCAGCTCTTTTTTGGCACTCTCAATATAATCTGTTGCCAACATCTGAGAAGACACATAACTTTCACTGCCTTTGTTCTTCCATGTTATGCATTTAAAAAATAATTTTCTCTGGCTGTCAGAGTATATCAGTCCTCATGCTTTGAGACAAACATTTGGACAAAAGATGTTTTAAATAAAAAATGGTTCTTACCTTCTATTTTGCCATTTGTTGTCTTTATTTCTTTTTGATATGTAGCCTCAGGTAAACACTCATAATTCTGTGTATCACTCACAGAGATAATCTGTTAAAGATAATATTAATAAATAATTTCTTTTTTTACTATTTTTTAATTTTGTTTTTCTGAGATGAAGCCTCGCAGGGTTGCCCAGTGGCATGATCTTGGCTCATTGCAACCTCTGGCTCCAAAGACCAAGTAATTATCCTGCCTCAGTGTCCCGAGTAGCTGGGACTACAGGCATGAGCTACCACACCTGGCTAAATTTTTGTATTTTTAATAGAGACAGGGTTTCACCATGTTGGCTAGGCTGGTCTCAAACTCCTGACTTCAAGTGATCTGCCCACCTCGCCCTCCGAAAATATTGGGATTACAGGTGTGAGCCACCACAGCCTGCCTCAATAAATAATTTCAATTTAAAAATAATAATGACAAGCATCACATTTTTTATTAAAAATCTTTTTTAAAACACATTTTTTAACTTTAAAGGCAATTAGATTTAAGGCTGTTCACATATTGAAAACCAAAACATTTCAAGAGAAAACCTCAAATATGCTCTGTAGATCAAGCTTATCTTTTATTTTCATGTGGCTATTGACTAGGTTACTGAGCAAGGAAAATAAATCATACTCACAAAAAAATTCACTCGTGCATATTTTAAAAGGAATTTACTTCAAAGTATCTGCCTTACACTGTAGTCCTCACCAAAAACAATAGGACATTTCAAACAAAATACAATATGATTAAACATTTGACATATGCATAATTATAGTTTTTTTGGTTAAAAACTATGCATGGCATGAAGAGAATTTTCAGAGTATGTCGTGCGAAGTAGGAACAGAACTCTGTTAAAAGCTGTTTCATTTAGGAAAACAAGGGCTTAAAATAATGAAAATAATTTTACATCTTTTTTGCTGATACAGAACTGCTTGAATAAAAGGAAAGATTCATAAGGAAAATTTATATTTATGTAATTTTTAAATGAAAGCAAACAATCATTAGATAAAGTATGCAATTCGTTCTTAAGGCATAACTTCAGAAAAGTAGAGCAAGCCTTCATATAAAGAGAAAAATAAAAACATGTATTCGTGAAACATCTAACATATGCCAGACACATATTTGCAGACTTTTCTTCACCTTAGAAAAATGAGGATGACGATGACATTGGTGGTTACCCCACTTTCTGCATGCTAGTCATTCGAGGTTGTTAAGAACAAAATGATGAACAAATATGGTCCACTGCCCTCTCTGTTCAGAATGTCTTCCTCCTAGACTTTCATATGGCTTACTCCTCATCTTTGAGATGGGAGATTAAATGGCAGTTGCAGAAAGATCTACTCTGACCATGGAATTCCACTGCCACTCCCATACGCGTGCTAATTATAAAGTTCTTCAATTTTCTCTTAAGGAACATTCTCTGTTTTGTTTTAAAGAAAAAGTTACAGTAATTTATAAGTGTTTTTCATTTGTTATTCTCTTCCTACTACTGCAGCATAATCTTTCATCTTGGATATTCAGAGACTCACTGCCTAGCACACAGTTGGTACTCAAAAAGAAATTACTCCAGGTCAAAACATTGAAAATCTCATCAGGAAAGTCTCACTTTCCAAACTGCTATATATGGAAAATCTGCAGTAGTAGCCTGCTGAAAGTTACCATCCCCTTACCCAAAATTAGAAATCCACATGCCTGTTCTTACTCCCCATTCTTGTGCTAACAATACTGCTTTCACATATATGCCACTTTAATCATTTTGTCTTACATTTGTATACAGACTTTCCAGTTTAAAAAATGTTTTCACATTTGTTACAACATTATTTCATCACATGCAACTAAGAGGTAGATATGAGCGCTATTTTTATAAACAAAGTTACTGGTATTTGATTAGATTAAACGATTTTTTTCCAAGTTCCCATAGCTAGTAAGTGACAGAACCAAATACAGACTTATCTTTTGACATCCACTCATTGCTGTTACCACTATGCAGCTGCTGCTTCTACCTAACTGGTGAGGCCTTTGCTATCTCTTCCACATCCACAGTTGTGACCTTGGAATACATCATTATTATTTGATACCTATGTGGCTGCAAACATGGCAGCCATAAATGGACTCAAAGAGTTCTATTTGTGAAAAAAAAATGTCCACTTATTAAAATACTACTCAACCAAATTGTTGTTATTATAGTTTTACAGGTGTCCTATTTCTCATGTTTATCCAACTCCTGAAATGTTCCTTCAGATCTATACTGGATAATCAAAATATGCCAATACTTTCAGAGTCCCAGGAATTATCTTTTCAAGTTCCAAGTTGAGTAAGACTAAGACTACAGTTTAAACTCTTTCTCCTCGAATCCAGTTAGAGCTTTTGTACATCTAGATATACACAGAATCATACAGTTGCTCATAAATGAATGTGGAGAAATCATTTAGTTTTTAGACAAACTTAACTTCAGAACTCAAGTAGATTCCTAATGCCTTCTAAGCCTTATTTTGTTTTGCACTATTCTACACTGGCTTCAAAATTAATCCTGCAAATTAGCAGAATTGCACTATGCAGATGTTATCTACTTGGCACATGATTATAAAGTATGTTCTGATAAATGTCAGAAAATAATTTCTTTTTTTTTGGTTTGTTTTTTGAGATGGAGTCTCGCTCTGTTGCCCATGCTGGAATGCAGTGGCATGATCTGGGCTCCCTGCAAGCTCCACCTTCTGGGTTCACGCCATTCTCCTGCCTCAGTCTCCCAAATAGCTGGGACTACAGGTGCCCGCCACCATGCCCAGCTAAATTTTTTGTATTTTTAGTAGAGACGAGATTTCACCATGTTAGCCAGGATGGTCTCGATCTCCTGACCTCGTGATCCACCCGCCTTATGGACATAATCAGAGGTGAGAGAATAAAGTCAAATCATCTTTTTATGTTTTAAGATTACTGAGTACTTAAGTTTTAAAATAACAACAACAACAATACACAGTACCTCAGAATCTGAAGTTGATTTTGTATCTTCTTTTCTTCCTAATTCTGATGTGGGCATCTTATCTACAAAATGTTATTCACAGACATGTATATGAGAATGTTTATTACTGTAAATCATAAAACTATATACAAATCTATTTCCATTTATGAGTATTTCAAAAATAAAAATAATAGCAAAAATAGAATTTCAGAATTGAAGCAGGTTCAGAAAAAAAAGAGTTGATAGTATGAAGAAAGATATCAAAATGTACTTTTTTAAGTAGACATTGTATTTTGGGCTAAAAAATTGTTTTCTATATAACAGCATTTAAACATAGAAAAATTTTCAGAGATATTCACTAATTTACCATTTCTATTATTTTGGTATAAAAAATAAAATTGTCATTACTTGTTTGATCTTGTGGAGCTCGTTCAATAATGCCAATATCACGTTCCTGTTGTCCAGTTACTGTCTTTGTTGCTCCCTCCTATTACAAACAAAACACAGAAAGCAAACACAAAAAAAAAACTTCAGAAAAAAATTGTATTTATTCACTCACTCAATCAATTTGTCAGAAAGACAAACAACAACAACAACAAAAAACATACTTTGTATCTGTCAAATCATAGGCACTATCCTGGGAGAAGCAGAAAATATACATGGAAGATAGATTCTGGCTTATGTTCAAGAAATGGTAGAGATATGTGAAAACAAATAAGAACAGAAAAGTAAAATTCACCAGTTCTACAATTTAAGTCAATAAAATACATAAGGGCACAAAGGAGAGAAAAATCAGTTTTACCTGAAAAGCTTAGAAAATGCTGCCATAATGGGGCCATATTGGGAAGGACAGACAACGTGCAGAGTCAGGATACAAAGACTCTAGGTGCAATAGCATGTGCAAAATAATAAGGCATGAAACAACATGGCCACTGAGGGATGCCAGAGTGATGTGGTAAAACTGGAACACAGTCAGAGCAAATGAGTTAAAGAGATAAAATGAGACCAAACCATATAAGATATATATCACCCTAGAATGTGAACTTACCCCTTCATGTAATGGGTATCCACTCAATATGCAGATGAGTTACATCATTACAAGTATATTTTAGAAAGGTGACTTTTCCAGTGATGTAAAGATGAACATGGGGAGATGGGGCAAAACTAGAAAGGAGTACTTCAAAATTATAGGTAGAGAGTTAATTATGGTAATAAGATATGGAAAATTATAAGAAGGCAGAAAATACAAAATTAGGTGTGTGACTGGATGGGTGACATGGAGAAGGGTTGAAGTGCAGGATGTAGGGGACGGTTGAAGTGCCGGTTGAAGTGCTTGAGCATTTCATGGCTACTTCCTAGTTGTTATTTACTAGGATGGGGAAACCAGATGACAGAGTAGATTACAAAGAGTCAGAAAAGAGTCAGAAAAAAATAAAAATGATGTTTTCAGTTTGAGACCTATAAGATTTGAGGCATCTATGGGGCTTAGAAGAAAGATCTAGATAAATACATTTGGAGTATGAGTAGATGACCTACATGAGGAAAATTACATAGTGATTAGAAAATAAATATTTATAAGATAGACTAAATGGGTAGAATTAAGCAACACAAATCTATGCAGACTGCTGAAATTTTGAAAATGAAATCAAAGGAGAGAGAAAAACATGGGATTAAGTTTCTCAGTTATATATTTCCAAATTTATTTCAAGAATATAATTTTATTTATATAGGTAAATATTTATTTCTGAAATATTTTTTGCAATATGCATCTTTGAATTGAATGAAAACATTTAATTCTAAAACAAGATTCTGCAAAATGACCTTTATAAAAACCTTGAAATTTTTAATTGTACAAGAGAAATGCTTACCCATAGAATTATAAGGCATTTTTAAGTACTACTATAAAGTGAGATAGAAATGTGAAACTCTGTTTTAAAATTCACATGCTTTTCTTATGAAACAATATAATACTAGCTCAAATTGCCTATTTACACCATATAGGATGGTAGTTTAAAATTGGAGAAAAGATTTCATATAAAGAAAATTAAGCAACAATTATTCAAGTTGATGATTTAATAGTTTTTACATATATCTATGATTGTCAAGCAGAATTCAGTATTCATAGGAGAAGTGAAGAAAGAAACTAAAAAGTTCAAGTCAACAAGATTCCTGAGTTTTAGAAATAAACAAATATATGTGCAAGGTGTAATAGTTATGAAGACTAAAGTTAATAAGGCTTCCTGGAAATAATATAAAATATCCCCATTGCAAGAGATACTTTTAAGTGTAAAAAGTATTCTTCCAATGATAAGTTTGTTTACTCTGTTAAATCTTCCCTTACGTATGATTCTATGATAATAGGTACTTTACTTTAAAACAATTGACAAATACTGATTACATTCATTTGATGTGTGTATATAATACCATTACATACCTATATTATGAGCAAAAATGTCAGAGTATTTCTAGAGATTAATAATTTCTACATTTCTTTGACAGTGTTGTAGCTTAAAAGTGATTCTTCTCTTTTAAGAGACAGATTAAGAACCATGTTCATATGATCAGAAACTTTAATTTTAATAACAAGTTTAAATAAAATGCTTATTTATACTCTATTATCAAAAATATTCAAAACAGCTACCAAGGTTATATAAAAGAGTAAGATAAATTAGTTAAATAACCTAAGAATATGTCAAATATTAAGTTAGAAATCTTAAACCAGAAACCAAAGAATCAAAAAGTAATAATTCACAATAAAGTTGGCAAGGCCTAAAACAGATTTCACTTTGCATTCTACAAAATTATAAGTATGACTAGATTAAATATAAGACATAAAGTTACTAAAAGAAGTAAGAATTAAATTTTCATTCCTTGTTTATAATTTTTTTGTTGACACACTATAAATGTACGTTTTGGGGGTACATATTATCACTTAATACATTCACATAATCAAATCAGAATAATTGAGATATTAATCACCTTAAGTATTTATCTTTCCTTTATGCTAGAAACATTCAAATTATTCTCTACTAGGTATTTTAAAGAGTACAACAAATTGCTCCTACCTATACTCGTCCTTATATTTTCTGTCAGCTTTTTATTAAAATCAGCTATAAGTCACTCAAAAACACCTGAGCTATCTTTTATTAGCTGGCTATGTTTTCTTAATTTTTATTTTAAATAATTTATATCATATCTTTTATTCTAGAGAGTTCCTGCTCTCATTTAAACCACTATTTTTGCTGTGCTTTTATAAGAATCTGTCTCATCCTCTCTCATGTAGTCTCTGTGTTTATCTTACCCTTCTTCAATGAATTATTTCCTATTATCCCCTTCATCTAATTTATTATTATACAAATATGTTGGTATCCATTAGATTTTTTTTAATCAAAATTACCTACGACAAAAATTTATTCTTACACAGTTTATAGTACTGTAGAAATAATTAAAATTTTAAAATTACATGTTATATTTTGAAATATCTCTTCACAATTTACAGTTGTATTAATTACCTCTTGTATGGAAAAATGTGAGAGTTTAGTTTTTAATAGTACCTTATTTAACTGGGTTTGCATTGAAATGGTATAGGTTGTTTCTATTCTGTGTGGCAAAAAGCTAAGAATAAATAATCGTATAAATTCTGCTTCTTCCAAGAAACAGAGAAAAAAGAATAAATCATGCGGGGGGCAATGATTGAGTAATGAAAATCATACATAGCAACTAAATAGAGACCTGTAAATAAATATGCTGACAATTGAGACAGAGATGCCCTCAAAAGCAGACACTGAAGAAATGTATTCTGTGATTAAAAAAGTCTGGGGTAAATCATTTTTTAAAAGGTGAAGGAGGCGGAAGAAACAAACAAGAGCCATGATGCGTCAATCATGAGCTTCAGTCGTGAAAGAAAAGGAGAAACAGCTACCCTAAGACATGTGATGAAATACAAATAATACAGACTTTTGTTAATAATATTGCTGATCAGTATTTACACTACAATTTGTTATTTTGTTAATACTTGTGTAATAAAGATTTTAATTTTAATATTACATAATAAGACAATTAGTTAAACATGGTCTTCAGCCAACACCTAAAAGCGAGAATATTCTTACTACAGAGAGAGAAAAAATTTAAAAATGAATGTTTCATAAACTTTTCACCTGAAGAAAGTATTGGTAATCAGAATTTTAGAGTAATGTATTCCTTGAAAAGATATGTTTAATAGAACATGAGTTTCGTCCTGGCTAACACGATGAAACCCCCTCTCTATTAAAAATAGAAAAGATTAGCTGGGCGTGGTGGCGGATGCCTGTAGTTCCAGTTGCTCTGGAGGCTGAGGCAGGAGAATGGTGTGAACCCGGGAGGTGGGGCTTGCAAGTGAGCCCACATGGCGCCACTGCACTCCAACCTGGGCGACAGAGCGAGACTCCGTCTCAAAAAAGAAAAAAAAAAGAACATGAGTTTCGGCTGGACGCGGTGGTTCTCGCCTGTAATCCCAGGATTTTGGGGAGGCCTAGGAGGGCAGATCACGAGGTGAAGAGATCGACACCATCCTGGGCAACATGGTGACACCCTGTCTCTACTAAAAATACAAAAATTAGCTGGGCATGGTGGCATGAACCTGCTGTCCCAGCTACACAGGAGGCTGACGCAGGAGAATTACTTGAACCAAGAAGGCAGAGGTTGCAGTCAGCCGAGATCACGCCACTGCACTACAACCTGGGCGACAGAGCAAGACTCCATCTCAAAAAAACAAAAAGCAAACAAACAAAACATGAGTTGAGACTAAAATATATTAAATTTTTTAAAATCTGAACTCCACTTGGGGATACTAGAAAATATAGTGTAATCTTCTTTCCTATTTACTACATATCTCTGATTTATTGTCTTCTTATTTATGACATATTTTCTCAAGATAACGCACATTAATTTATGCATTCTAAATATTAAAAGAAAATATAAATTTAAGTCATATTTTAGAAACGCATTAGATTTAATTATAAGGTATATTATGCATATTATCTTACTTGTAACATTCCATTACATAAAAATTCATTTGCTTATTTATTCACATTGAAAACCGCTTAAAATGCTTTTTACAGGCAAGACTGTATTCTGGGTACACTAGGATGCACACAAGTATGTTTTCTAACCTGCAGTATCTCATAGTGATGCAAGAGCTCCAAAACGATTATTTAAATAACTAAATACAAAATCTTCTGAAATTTAAAATTTTCAAATGTGATCAAAGATCTTTGAACAATATGTTTAAAAACTGCAATTTAAAAACTCTGAAATTAAAATCTTACCATATGCTTATTAAGAGTCTCTGCTTCCAGAACTGGTTTTTTACTTGGGGTGAAACCTGCATTCTTCATTTAGTTGAAGAATTTAAAGTATACTTTTAATGAAATAACTTAGAAAACATCCTCACATGCCTTAATAATACAGATTCTGAGAAAGAGAATTTACATTTCTAAATTTCTAAATTATATTCAAAATTAGAGATAAGGTCTCGCTATGTGCCCACACTGGTCTCAAACTCTTGGGCTCAAGCAATCCTCCTGCATCAGCCTCCTTGGTAGCTGGAACTACAGGCATGCACCATCATGCCCAAATAAATTTTCACAATTTCTAATATTATTTTGGTGTTTAATTAAAGAACCAAGAAGAGAAACTGATAAAAAGCTCTCTCCTAAAAACTACATGATATCAAAATAATATGCGCCAAAAAAACCTATATGCTATGTGGCACAGTTTCAGAACTGAAGTTTATCAGACAGATTCCTTGATTACTGTAATAAGTAACTGGATCCATTAAAGATAATTTTAAGGATGAGGTGTTTTTAAAGTTACAATAGAATAATTTTAAAAGTCACAGTAAGTTTACTTATGCAAAGAAACCTTTACCAGATTTTATATATTCTCTATTGTGGAAAAGTTTTTTCTAATATAATGTTCCTGTCACTATGTATTTCTACAGCCCATTCCGGTTTTTGGCCCTCACACCCTCAGAGTATTTACCAATCATTTGTTATTTACTGAAGTAAAACAAACAAACAAAAAAACAAAAAAAAAACTGTTTAAATCAACTACTCATATTTCTATAAAATGTTTTTATGTGACCAACTTTATATTACCAACATGAAATTATGATACATACACCACTGCTAAACATGAAAAGTAAATACTATACAGAATTAGATTCCAACTGAGAAAATCAATTTAACAAGAGACTATTTTACCTTGGTAGTAAGATTAAAGTCTTCCTCAACTTTTGTAGACTGTGAATTTTCAGTAGTCGGTTTGCCAAAAAGACTAGAGAAAAAAGATAAAACAAAAATGAGCAAATTCATATATTTAAAAAGAAAACCTGCCAGTTCATATCTTAGTGCTCACTCCAAAAAATGAGAACAAAAAACAAAATCTGGGGAAAGATCAGTCCTCAATATATTAAATCATGTTTCTTGGCATAATTAAAATATGCCATCTGGTTTTCGTTTTTTTTTTTTTTTTTTTCCGAGACGGAGTCTCGCTCTGTCGCCCAGACTGGAGTGAGATGGCTCGATTTCTGCTCACTGCAAGCTCTGCCTCCCGGGGTTCATGCCATTCTCCTGCCTCAGCCTCCCCAGTAGCTGGGGCTGGAGCCCGCCACTGCGCCCGGCTAATTTTTTGTATTTTTAGTAGAGACGGGGTTTCACCGTGTTAGCCAGGATGGTTTCCATCTCCTGACCTCGTGATCTGCCCGCCTCGGCCTCCCAAAGTGCTGGGATTACAGGCGTGAGCCACCGCGCCCGGCCCCTCTGTTTTTAAAAAAGATTGCATTTACCTATTTTTGACTCTATCTCTCCAACCTGTAACATCCAATGAACACTCACTCTTAGTTCCATAAAAAATAGTGACCGCCAATATAATTGGCATACCCTGAGTATAATTAGTCCTCACAAGCTGTCCTCTATGATGAACTGAAAATGTACTTAATGGCTGACATAACTTTTGATATCTAAACTGGAACAAACTTGATAACCTAAAATGAGGAAGAAAGGTACAGTTACCTTGTCCCTTATCCATTGTCTATCTCTGATTCAAAGACTAATCTGTGTCACTGGAAAATGACATTCTTTGTTTTTCAGCATAAAAACCACTTAAAAAGGCCTTGTTGCTTCCCTTCACCCTAAAACGCTACAAGAGAGTGCCCTGAAATATCTGAAATGTTGAAAAGCTGAACCTACAAATGTCAAAATACAAATCTATATTTGTTATTGGGAATATTTTTCTCACAAAAATTGAAACATTAAAAGTAAGAAAGTCTAACTACTTATTTTATACTTTTCCTTCCTTGTTCAGGTCTACATAAACTAGCAAAGCCTTAAAAATCTTCGTAGGTACTTATACCCAAGGAGAGAGACTGCTAGAAAAACTGAGTCCTGATAGTTGGATTTCTCTAAGTACTATATATACAGAGAGAAAGATCTGGAAGTGGGAGCCACTATATATAGTGAAAGTGTCTCCCACTTCCAGATCTTTCTTCTGCAGAGCTTCATGGCAGTCTCCAACCTTTAAATATTTAGCTCATCTAAGCACAGATTACTGAAAAGATAAACTCAATGACCAACCAATAAGCTCTGTATTTACCTGTTCCTGAAAAACAACTAAACAGAGTCTCAGTCATGTTACCAAAAACCCAACTGAAGCTCCATGACTAATTTGACAGCCAATCTTCCCCCTGCTTTACATGTACATGGGTAGGACATCAGAGGCTTGGAAAAAGAGGCAAACGGGAGGGGACACCTGCCTTAGGCCACAGATCTATGTAATTCAGCAACCTTCAATCCCCTAGCACTGAAGGGGCTCTAAGCCACTCCTGTGAGATTTGGGGTGAAAGAACAGAATAGGACATTTCTATTCTGATTGTGGAGACTTTTCTGAGTTGGTCTTTTTTTCTAAATCTTTCAATAGAAATCTTGAAGTTTGCCCATTCCTCCAATTAAACAAGCAAAAAAAGCAGCAATCTATTCAGGACTTCTTTGAACCCTATTTTAGTATGCCTTTCTAGATAACTCCCAATGTCTTCTGTGTTTTTGGTCCTCTAATTTATCTTCATCAAACTTGTCATAAGATCCAATATTCTGATCTCTTTGGTAAAACCCTTACTCCTACCAATCCTGGGATTGTTTCTCTTCAAACTTGGCCTTTCCCTGATAATTCCATTCTTATCTACTTCTACTGGGTTTTCCAGCTAATTCCATTATTCTTTTCCATTTGTTTAATCAGATCCATCCCCTTTTCCTTTCTATTATTCAAACACTCACTTACATGATGATATAAAAACAAGAGTAATGGGCTTTGAAATGAGTTTAAATATTACTTCTGCTACCTCTTATATTTAAATAAGTCATTTTGAGTTTCAGATTCTCCATGTGAACAACAATTTTTCCAGGATATTAAATAGAGTTTAAAATATGAAAGTATTTTGATTAGTCTCCAAGAGTCCTTAAAATCCTAAAATTCCATGTGCTTTAATTTTAGCTATAGAAAAATGGGGCTGGCAGAAAGAAATAAAATAATAGAAGAAAAGAACACCAAGGAAAGCAGAGAAGAAAGTAATCAGGAAAAGATTATAAATAAGTCATGAAAGAAGAGAAAAGACTCTAGAAAAGAAAATGAAGAGTGCATGCAACTAAGAGGGGACTGCTTTGAAGAAGAACTAAACTAAGAAGTCAGTAAATAGAGAATTCTATAAGAAATAGCCTCTAAATATGATTAACATATCTATATGTAGATATTCTCCACTAAGAGTGAAATAATCCATCTATAGGATTTACCTGGTATTGCATATGAAACAAAAGCCTATGTCTTGTGGCCACAGCTAAGTAAGATCTGCTCTAAAAACGTTGGTGATAAAAACAAGGTACTGGTTACCACTTTAACGGTTAAACATGTTAGAACAAAGTCTTGGATTAATCAATGTTCTATGGGAAATCTCTAAAAAGAGTTAACATATAACAAAATGTGACTTTGTGAATTGATCCCATCTGGTCCTGTACCTTGATCCTAGTGATCCACAGGTCTCCATCAATCTATGCCAAGGGGGAAGGGAAGGGATTAGGGAGCAAGGTAAGCAGATGGCAAACTCAAGGGTCAGCTACTTTTTAGCTATGACATCATAGGCCAATTAATCAACCTCTCTGAATCACATTTGCCTGATTAATACAAAGTAGGTGACAGTAGCACAGATGCTTTGCAAAGCTGTGTGATGACTATGTGAGATGATAAATATTAAGCACATAATACGTTGTCTAGCCCAGAGTAGAATACTCAGCAGATAGTGATTTCTTTTCTCTATATTTTCTGAGTTAACATATACGTTTTAAAAAACCGCAAAGTCTTACCTGAATGTGGACTCTACAGAACTCACATCCTCTATTAAAGAAAAGAGTAAAATACATTAAATCAACAAATATAAATAAAAAATACAGAATATTAAAAACATAAGAGGGCACGATGGCACATGCCTGTAATCCCAGCTACTTGGGAAGGTGAGGCAGGAGGATCATCTGAGAGGTCCAGGAGTCTGAAAGCAGCCTGGGAGACATTGCAAGACTTCAACTTAACTTAAAAGAATCACGCACACTTTCATGCATGATTAAGGTCTTGGTTTAAAAAGCATAATACTCTGACACTTTGTTACAAAGACTCAGATGATTTGTTACAAAGCATTCTTTTGGGACCATACGTTGAGACTATAGTAAAATTATTATTAAGTATACTATTGGTAGGAAATTAATGCATTAAGAATGCTTATTTCCCCTCCTTTGTAGTTCTCAAATGCAAGGAAAAATGGAATTTATCACAATTTGATCTCTGCAAGTGAACTACAGTGTACAATAGTCATCATCCAAACAGAACCCTATAAGACTGACAGAAAACTGTATTATTAGCAGAATTAGTATAAGTGGACAGTGTCAAACTTAGAAAGTATAATTTCTAGACAAATGGACTAGAAGCAGTTAGAACAGAGTATACAGTAGTCTCTTATCTGCTGTATGTGTAGAAAGAAACACACACAACATGATTTCCCTCTGCTCTCATACCAAAATCATTAAAACAGAAGACATCTGCGACCAAATGTGTGGAGGATTTTCTCCACCAACAAATAAGCAATGAATTCTGTAGAAAAAAACAGCTGACTGTCCTCTATTTAATTCCAACCCTGTCTATCTAGAAATAGTCTCAGATCCCACAGACTGAGTGCTCAGTCTCACAAGACTTCCCTCACACACCAGTTGCAAATCTGGGTCTCTTTAATTTCTGTGATTTCAGTTACTCATGGTCAATGATAGTCCAAAAATATTAAATGTGGAATTCCAGAAATATACAAGTCATAAGTCCTAAATAATGTGTCATTCTAAGGAGTACAATGAAATATTAAGGCATCCTGTTCCATCTCATCCAGGTCATGAATCATCCCTTTGTATATGCTATCTGCCCATTAGTCATCAAAATGGTCTGTTCCTGTATCCCAACCATCAACATTATCATGGCTCAATGATCCAGGGTCACATGAAGCAGATGATCCTCCTTCTGATGTGTGGTCAGACAGCAAGAAATAATTAGTAGCCTAACACCACATGACAACTCCTACCTCATTCATCTGACTTCATCTCATCACATAGGCATTATATCATCTCACAGTCATCACAAGAAAAAGAAGGGCGAGTACAATACAAGACACTTTGAGGGACCATATTCACCTAACTTTGAGATTACAATATATTGTTATTGTTATATTTTATTATGAGTTCCTGTTAATCTCTCACTGTGCCTAATTTATGAATTAAACTTTATCACAAATATGCACTTATAGAAGAAAAAAAGCATGGATGTATAGGGTTCCATACTATCCACAGTTTCAGACATTCAATGGGTGTCTTAGAAAATACACGCCTTGGATAAGGATGAATTACTGTACTTGTGTGTGTGTGTGTGTGTGTGTGTGTGTGTGTGAGAGAGAGAGAGAGAGGGGGAGAGAGAGAGAGAGAGAAACAATACAGATCTCCACTCTCCACAAGAAGCAGATAAAAAAGACAACACTTTTCCTCACACATGACCCTTAGGTTTTGACAATTCTGGAAAAATGCTGGCATGTGTACTCCCCAGTCTAGACAATTTCCTAGACCCTGTGTATATATGCTGCTTTAGTTGCAAAAAGTTAGGTAGGATCTTGGGAGATTTCCTCTTGGACTCCAGAAATATTAACTACATCAACATTATACCTAACAACTCTAAAATAATTCTTTTGAACAGATTACCACTGTAGAACTTGTAAGTTAAATCCAATTGACTTTTCAGTTATAATCTTACTGCTGAAATTCTCATATTTAAAAGAAATTTGCAACATCACTTTCTCTGACTCCTCTCCTACTTTTCATTAGCCACTGCTCAGTCTCCTTTACCAAGTCCTGTGACTCTGTGAAATGTTGATACTCCCAGGATTTTGTCAATGGCTTTCTTCTTATTCTACATCTTCTGCATCATGGATAAGCTCAGTGAGATCTATGGCTTTGCTTAATAATTATAATAAAATTATTCTAAGCCTGCATCTCCAACCAGAGTTCTATCTCCAGCTAGAAATACGTATAAACCAATTACCTACTGAAAATATCCCACATGAATGTTTCATTGAACTCAATATGTAAAGAAAACGGTTGGTCTGTCCCATGACTGTTTGCACTTTTCTGTTGACCTGACAATTTCTTACTCCTTCCCCATGAGCATTCCCCATGTGGAAACTTATGAATGACCTGAAATTTCTTCTCTCCCCTAGCTTTTTCAAATCAATAATCACTAAATCATATTAACTGTACCTCTTTTCTGCATTTGCTTTATCTTTCCATTGCCACTGGAAATACAAACTTATTTATTTTATATTTATATTTCCTAGTTAGACATGGCCTCTTAACTGATGGCTTTCACAGGAAAAAAGCAACCCTACCTGTAGGGGATCGGACAAAGTGGTTAAAAAAATTATAAAGATAGTTATAGGAAATAGACACAAACCTTCTTGGAAGGCCGGGGGGTTGCATAGCTTCAGTAAATGATTTGGCTGAAAACAGCCTAATCTTCTTTACTTTGAGTTGGTAGCAATAGAGCAAATATCTAGGGAATGTGGAGGAGTTTATCTAAATACCTTGTTTACTCACGTGGTCCTAAGACAAAAGTTTGATCATCCGAGGGTGCATGATTGCTTTGTACTGGGGGTTGGCAATCTTAATTACCCTCTAGTGATGTTTACTCAACAGTTTTGTCATTTAATCTGTACTAAATAAATGTGAACTTTGCAGGCTTATCGAGGCCAAGAATGCAGACTCAGGCAGCAGAACCCCTTAGCTGCACTGACAGGCAAAAAATCTGTTTCAGTATATGTCTCTCATCTGTCACTTAGGTCAGTGTCCATGGGATGGACCCGGCAGGTGGCAAGACAAACTATGCAAAAGGATCGTGATGGAACCCTCAAATATGAAGGTGAAAAGAACTGCACAGGCAGCGAGTAAGTCATTGGTGCCTGCTCAGGATTTCCAGGTTCGGGGGAAATTGTTCAGGCGAGGGTTTCATCATGGGACAACAATTATCAGCACAAAAGAAACAGTATATGAAAGTATTGAAAAAGCTGCTTAAAGCTAGTGGAGACTTGGTATCGTGGTCCCTCAATTAAGGGACACAATGCAAACTGTTGTATTCCACAACCCATGGTTATGGAATTCCAAATTCAGCTTACCAAATGGATTTTAGACAAAGTTTTATAGGAGTACAATCACACCTATTTCTTCACATGTTATCTATGACTGCTTTCATGCTACAATGGTAGAGTTGAAAAGCTGTGATAGAGACCACATCACCTAATATATTTCCTGTTTGGCACTTTACAAGAAAAGTTTGCCAATGTCTGGTTTATACCATGACCAGAATGCTCTGATACTTAAATCTAATCTTGGGACTCCCCTGCTCAAATAATTCCAATGAATCTGTGCAGAAAACATTGCTGGCTTCCAATGCATAGAAATTATTTTTTCTTTCTTACAGCAGAAACACAAGTTTATTTACATATTTATTATTCCATTACTCCCATCTCATCTACAAAATGAGAAATCATTATTCTAAGCTAATCACAGTAAGAACATTTGCTTTTCTAGTGACTGGTTTACAAATGAGTATTTGTACTCAGAGGCTGATGGAGGAGAATCACTTGAGTCCAGGAGGCAGAGGGGGTAGTGAGGTAAGATCACACCGTTGCACTCCAGCCTGGGCGAAAGAGGGAAACTCCATCTCCAAAAACACAAATATTTAAAATGCATTCCAGTATTTTAAATATTTTCATTTTAATTTCTAATATTAGTTGAAGCAGTAAATATTCCCACTTCAATAAAAGCTCTCTGATATAAGCTATCATTTGATGTTGACTTTCAGTGGCTATGAAAGACAGCCTAATTAAATGTGTTTTAGAGTTAAAATCGCAAACTATGAAGCCTGAAATCAAAGCGGAGCTAACTGTATTGAGTACACCTAAAATATAAGATAAGTAAAAAAAAAGGAAGTTCCAAAATAATATGTACAGTGTACAACTATTTATTGAAAATTTAAGACATGAAAACAAATTCTAGACATAGTCTAGAACCACACACATATGTGGTGAATTTCTGGGGTTTTGTTTGTTTGCTTGTTTGCTTTTTGAGATGGGAGTCTCACTCTGTTACCAAGGCTGGAGTGGCACGATCTTTGCTCACTGCAACTTCTGCCTCTTAGGTTCAAGCAATTCTCCTGCCTCAGCCTCAAGAGTAGCTGAGATTACAGGCACCCACCACCACAACCGGCTATTGTTTGTTATTTTTAGTAGAGATAGGGTTTCACTATGTTGACCAGGCTGGTCTGGAACTCCTAACCTTCAGTTATCTGCCCACCTTGGTCTCCCAAAATGCTAGGATTACAGGCATGTGCCACCATGCACAGCCTGTTGTAACATATTTTAAACATGCATGGGAATGACAACAAAAGCTAATTCAGGCTGTTTTGTACCTCTAGGCAATTAATTACAGTAGCATAAAAAGATACTAAGGCCAAGTGCTTTAGAGTCACGCTTCTAAAACACCGTGTCTAGCAAAGAGTCATCAAGTAATGATTTTTAAAAATTATAAGTCACACACGCACACACACACAATCACCTAATCAGAAAAACAAGAAACCGATTTTCTTTAGATTCTCAGAGTGACAACACTCACAACTGTCATGTCAGCAAGTGAAACTTTATTCAAAGTAAAGATCAGAATTCCAATCAGCATTTGAACCACTGCAAATATTTCACAGTGTCAAAATTCACCTGCCTTAAAACCAAGCACGTGGCCGGGCGCGGTGGCTCACGCCTGTAATCCCAGCACTTTGGGAGGCCGAGGCGGGTGGATCATGAGGTCAGGAGATCGAGACCATCCTGGCTAACAAGGTGAAACCCCGTCTCTACTAAAAATACAAAAAATTAGCCGGGCGCGGTGGCGGGCGCCTGTAGTCCCAGCTACTCGGGAGGCTGAGGCAGGAGAATGGCGTGAACCCGGGAAGCGGAGCTTGCAGTGAGCCGAGATTGCGCCACTGCAGTCCGCAGTCCGACCTGGGCGACAGAGCGAGACTCCGTCTCAAAAAAAAAAAAAAAAAAAAAAAAAAAAAAAAAAAAAAAAAAAAAAAAAAAAAAAAAAAAAAAAACCAAGCACGTATAGAAATTGCAAATTGGAAACTTTATAGTATCAGGATATTAAAGAAGAACCACATGAGGTACAGTAGAATTTTTTTTAAATCTCTAAATCTTACGCTTGTAAATGGCATTTTCTCAAACATGAATACTAACATTGGCATTATTTGTGTCAAATTTTCCCATCCAATTTTGAAAAGAAAACAACATTGGGAATAAAAAGGCTCTTGGCACTTCAAATATTTTAATGTTCTTAATTCCACAGTAAAATTAAAATTACAAAATTTACCTGCTTTGAATGTTTCTCTGTCCTTCAATTCTAAGGCTTTATTTGGAAGAGAAATTTTCATTCCACAGGTAGGCTAAATGGGTTTGGAAACACAATAATTACTATATAATGTATACTTCATAAAATAAGTAGTTAATATTCAAGATAAAAATATAAAAGTTATTACCTTCAGAAGACCATCTTTATCAGGAGACTCTAAAAGAAAAGGGACATATATAATTGATTATACGCAAGCCTGTCAAAGTCTACCAAACATTCATGCAGTGTGAATATGAAGATGAATCCTCATGCTTGGATTGAAAAGAGATTACACTAGGTTTTGGGGTCTTTTGGGTTATTGTGTTTGTTAACATGCCAGAGTGACAGAAATATACCTAAGAAAATTTAAAAAATAAATTTCCTCAAACATGCTGTGAAGATTTCAACAGTCAAAATATATTTCAAGTGACATTAACTAAAGCAGAAAATCCTAATACCAGTAAGAGTAAGCTGCCATATAAGGAAAGAGGTTGAATTTAGTAAGATGACCAAGACATGACCCCTCCACCAAAAATAAATAAATAAATGTCCAAGCTAATGGTAGAATGCTATGACATATTATTAAAGAAACACATCAGAATCACTTATGTCAATATACTACAAGTAGCTATTATGTTCTTCAATTTGTCCTGTAATTTAAGAATTGCAAAGCTCCGATGAGAATTCAAAGGTACAATTTACTTATCATTGCAGAGAATGTTCTAAATTCAACAGCATAAATATCTACTTATAGAATGAAAGTTTATAAATATATTTATTTTTGAACCTCTGTGAAATACGAGTATTTTTATATTTCTGGGGTTCTGTAGTTTAGTCTTCTTAAAATTTCCTGATCCACTTATACAGAAAAGTCAAAGCATACCCATCAACAAACTAATACAGTCCAGGTGCCATGGCTCATGCCTGTAACTCCAGAACCTTGGAAGCCTGAAGAGGGCGGATCTCTCGAGTCCAGGAGTTCCAAAGCAGCCTGGCCAAAATAGCGAAACCCTGTCTCCACAAAAAATACAAAAATCATCCAGGTATGGTGGCACATGCCTGTAACCCCAGCTACTTGGGAGCCGGAGCTGTGAGAATCACTTGAACCCAGGAGGCGGAGGTGGCAGTGAGTCAAGATCGTGCCACTGCGCTCCAGCCTGGATGACAGAGTGAGACTCTGTCTCAACAAAAGAAAAAACACCCTAACATCACAATTAAAAGAACTAGAAAAGCAAGAACAAACACATTCAAAAGCTAGTAGAAGGCAAGAAATAACTAAAATCAGAGCAGAACTGAAGGAAATAGAGACACAAAAAACCGTTCAAAAAATTAATGAATCCAGGAGCTGGTTTTTTGAAAGGATCAACAAAATTGATAGACCGCTAGCAAGACTAATAAAGAAAAAAAGGGAGAAGAATCAAATAGATGCAATAAAAAATGATAAAGGGGATATCACCACCGATCCCACAGAAATACAAACTACCATCAGAGAATACTACAAACACCTCTACGCAAATAAACTAGAAAATCTAGAATAAATAGATAAATTCCTCGATACACACACTCTCCCAAGACTAAACCAGGAAGAAGTTGAATCTCTGAATAGAACAATAACAGGATCTGAAATTGTGGCAATAATCAATAGTTTACCAACCAAAAAGAGTCCAGGACCAGATGGATTCACAGCCGAATTCTACCAGTGGTACAAGGAGGAACTGGTACCATTCCTTCTGAAACTATTCCAATCAATAGAAAAAGAGGGAATCCTCCCTAACTCATTTTATGAGGCCAGCATCATTCTGATACCAAAGCCGGGCAGAGACACAACAGAAAAAGAGAATTTTAGACCAATATCCTTGATGAACATTGATGCAAAAATCCTCAATAAAATACTGGCAAAATGAATCCAGCAGCACATCAAAAAGCTTATCCACCATGATCAAGTGGGCTTCATCCCTGGGATGCAAGGCTGGTTCAATATATGCAAATCAATAAATGTAATCCAGCATATAAACAGAGCCAAAGACAAAAAACACATGATTATCTCAATAGATGCAGAAAAAGCCTTTGACAAAATTCAACAACCCTTCATGCTAAAAACACTCAATAAATTAGGTATTGATGGGATGTATCTCAAAATAATAAGAGCTATCTATGACAAACCCACAGCCAATATCATACTGAATGGGCAAAAACTGGAAGCATTCCCTTTGAAAACTGGCACAATACAGGGATGCCCTCTCTCACCACTCCTGTTCAACATAGTGTTGGAAGTTCTGGCCAGGGCAATGAGGCAGGAGAAGGAAATAAAGGGTATTTAATTAGGAAAAGAGGAAGTCAAATTGTCCCTCTTTGCAAACGACATGATTGTATATCTAGAAAACCCCATTGTCTCAACCCAAAATCTCCTTAAGCTGATAAGCAAATTCAGCAAAGTCTCAGGATACAAAATCAATGTACAAAAATCACAAGCATTCTTATACACCAATAACAGACAAACAGAGAGCCAAATCATGAGTGAACTCCCATTCACAATTGCTTCAAAGAGAATAAAATAAATAGGAATCCAACTTACAAGGGATGTGAAGGACCTCTTCAAGGAGAACTACAAACCACTGCTCAATGAAATAAAAGAGGATAAAACAAATGGAAGAACATTCCATGCTCATGGGTAGGAAGAATCAATATCGTGAAAATGGCCATACTGCCCAAGGTTATTTACAGATTCAATGCCATCCCCATCAAGCTACCAATGACTTTCTTCACAGAATTGGAAAAAACTACTTTAAAGTTCATATGGAACCAAAAATGAGCCCGTGTCGCCAAGTCAATCCTAAGCCAAAAGAACAAAGCTGGAGGCATCACAGTACCTGACTTCAAACTATACTACAAGGCTACAGTAACCAAAACAGCATGGTACTGGTACCGAAACAGAGATATAGATCAATGGAACAGAACAGAGCCCTCAGAAATAACGCCACATATCTACAACTATCTGATCTTTGACAAACCTGAGAAAAACAAGCAATGGGGAAAGGATTCCCTATTTAATAAATGGTGCTGGGAAAACTGGCGAGCCATATGTAGAAAGCTGAAACTGGATCCCTTCCTTACACCTTATACAAAAAGTAATTCAAGATGGATTAAAGACTTAAACGTTAGACCTAAAACCATAAAAACCCTAGAAGAAAACCTAGGCATTACCATTCAGGACATAGGCATGGGCAAGGACTTCATGTCTAAAACACCAAAAGCAATGGCAACAAAAGACAAAATTGACAAATGGGATCTAATTAAACTAAAGAGCTTCTGCACAGCAAAGGAAACTACCATCAGAGTGAACAGGCAACCTACAGAATGGGAGAAAATTTTCGCAACCTACTCATCTGACAAAGGGCTAATATCCAGAATCTACAATGAACTCAAACAAATTTACAAGAAAAAAACAAACAACCCCATCAAAAAGTGGGCGAAGGACATGAACAGACACTTCTCAAAAGAAGACATTTATGCAGCCAAAAAACACATGAAAAAATGCTCATCATCACTGGCCATCAGAGAAATGCAAATCAAAACCACTATGAGATACCATCTCACACCAGTTAGAATGGCAATCATTAAAAAGTCAGAAAACCACAGGTGCTGGAGAGGATGTGGAGAAATAGGAACACTTTGACACTGTTGGTGGGACTGTAAACTAGTTCAACCATTGTGGAAGTCAGTGTGGCGATTCCTCAGGGATCTAGAACTGGAAATACCATTTGACCCAGCCATCCCATTACTGGGTATATACCCAAAGGACTATAAATCATGCTGCTATAACGACACATGCACACGTATGTTTATTGCAGCATTATTCACAATAGCAAAGACTTGGAACCAACCCAAATATCCAACAATGATAGACTGGATTAAGAAAATGTGGCACATATACACCATGGAATTCTATGCAGCCATAAAAAATGATGAGTTCATGTCCTTTGTAGGGACATGGATGAAACTGGAAATCATCATTCTCAGTAAACTATCACAAGAACAAGAAACCAAACACCGCATATTCTCACTAATAGGTGGGAAATGAACAATGAGAACACATGGACACAGGAAGGGGAACATCACACTCTGGGGACTGTTGTAGGGTGGGGGGAGGGGGGAGGGATAGCATTAGGAGATATACCTAATGGTAGATGACGAGTTGGTGGGTGCAGCGCACCAGCATGGCACATGTATACATATGTAACTAACCTGCACAATGTGCACATGTACCCTAAAACTTAAAGTATAATTAAAAAAAAGAAAAAACACCTAATATGAAAGTATCAAAAATTAGAAGTCAATTTCCAGAGAATTTTTATATATCATTAACCTGCATATTTCAATGTTAGAATAATGGTTACTGAAAATAACAGTTTTATTATTTTGTTGCTAAAACTAATTCTGTTTGTTATACAATGCGAGTTGCTAAAACACTGTTATGAAAAAGCTCTTATAAAAAACTTAGCTTCAAGAAAAAACAGACATTTCTTTGACATAGAAATATATCTCCTTTCATCAAATAATATGAATAAAACATGCTTAATCTCTCATTTTTCTCTACTTTTTATTTCTCAGTACAACATACTTTAATATATTTAGACATATCAAGTATATATGCTGTTTCCCTTCAGAGATGATTGATCAATAATGAAGACACTTCAGGGATATAAACTCTCTAAAACACAAAAAATTTATGTCCAAGCATTTTAAGGCTAAATACATGACCATATTGCAGGTAGGTGTTTTATAAAAAAAGTGCTTAAAATTGTATTCAACACACTTTAAATAAAAACCTGCTTTAATTATGATGAGAAGGTCATTCTCGATTCATTAATATCTTTAAACTTTACTTCTGAAGCACTGAAGAAACCTCAGAATTTCATATATAATGATACCATTAATACATCTGTTTGTTTTAGGTAAAAATATGATAAATGTACATCCTCACTAAGTGCAAAGAAAGCAGAGTGTCATGAGATAGGAAATGAATATGTAACCAAAATATTTTCCTTTATGAAGAAAATAGCTGGCTTTGACCTTTCTAAGACAAGATAAAAAAGCAAAACATGCAGAGATGAAACATTCAGAGCTATCTCATCATCAACGAACCGTTTATCACTTGGCATTTAGGAATCCTATGTATGGTTGAAAACTCTGGTTCTAAATTGTGATCTGATTACCCCTGAAGTTCAAAATCCATGCAGAGGAAGGAAGCAGGGGAATACTGCCTTTGTTATTTTTTTATTACTTTTATTTTTATAAAGGTGTACACTGGAGTTTTTTAGAGTCAGGACAGGTCACATGGCATGGCTCTAAAGATTAGTGAGCCACATTTGTAATGGCTATTGAAATGTATGGCTGTGAATCCTTGCATTTTAATTACTTCACTTTTAATTTCTAATATAGCATGAAGTAAGACATACACTTAAACAAAACCTTGTTGACATCTGTAATTATATTTATGTTGCTTTTGAGTCATCATGAAGAGAGTCTAATTAAACGTAGTGCAAAGTAAAAATGCACAGTCAGAAATGTTTTCTTTATTTTTTATTTTAATATTATACTTTAAGTTTTAGGGTACATGTGCACAATGTGCAGGTTCCCATTAACTCGTCATTTAGCATTAGGTATATCTCCTAATGCTATCCCTCCTCCAACCCCACAACAGTCCCCGGAGTGTGATGTTCCCCTTCCTGTGTCCATGTGTTCTCATTGTTCAATTCACACCTATGAGTGAGAACACGCAGTGTTTGGTTTTTTGTCCTTGCGAGAGTTTGCTGAGAATGATGGTTTCCAGTTTCATTCATGTCCCTACAAAGGACATGAACTTATCATTTTTTATGGCTGCGTAGTGTTCCATGGTGTATATGTGCCATACTTTCTTAATCCAGTCTAGCGTTGTTGGACATTTGGTTTGGTTCCAAGTCTTTGCTGTTGTGAATAGTGCCACAATAAATAAATTCTTTTTTTTTTTTTTTTTTCACAGAGTCTGGCCCTGTCACCCAGGCTGGAGTGTAGGTGCATGATCTTGGCTCACTGCAATCTCTGCCTCATGGGTTCTCACATTCTCCTGCCTCAGCCTCCCGAGTAGCTGGGACTAGAGGCACCCACCACCATGCTTGGCTAATTTTTTGTATTTTTTCATAGAGACGGGGTTTCACCATGTTAGCCAGGATGGTCTCGATCTGCTGACCTCGTGATCCGCATGCCTCTGCCTCCCAAAGGGCTGGGATTACAGGCGTGAACCACAGTGCCCGGCCTGAAATCTTGAAATAAATGAAAAACGAGCTAATCGCTGAACAAAAAAATAAAAAATCACTGTGG
Source organism: Homo sapiens (assembly GCF_000001405.40). NCBI lineage: Eukaryota > Metazoa > Chordata > Mammalia > Primates > Hominidae > Homo > Homo sapiens. Next base: position 14,816,299 of record NC_000018.10, on the reverse strand, counting down.
AATGACAAGAACATTCTACAAACATTTATATGTGATTTTTGCAAAAAGTGTTAATGCCAATGTGTATATGCTGAGTGATGAGGAGATAAGTGATCCTGAATCAGAGGAGCAAATCGTGACACTGAGAAAATAAATGCAAAAGCTGAACGTAGAATGCTATACCATGTGTCTTTAATGCAACACATTATAATAATTTATATCATTACATTACAAATATTCACCATGTTCTTTAATATGTCCTGTCACTGAGAAGGTAAAAAGTTTGGATGAGAGTTCAGCTGAATGTAGAACTGACATCTCAGCAGTGAAAGTGTTATGAATTGATCAGCTTGGATATATACTTAGAGAATAATACTAAATATAAATATCCACTAATTTTCACACCCATATGGCATAACGGTATGCCAACATTTTTGTACTTTGTAGCTTAGCCATCTCAATATTCCTTGATCCACTCATGGAGGAAGATGTACAAAACTCATCAGGAATAGCAAATATAATAAGCTTTCAATATTGACATATTTGTTTTAAATTTAGTTGCAACAGACTTATTAAATATTAATAACATTTTCTATGTTAAAATCACTATAATACCTATGAATAAGAACAATTTAGGTATTCAAGCAATAAATTCAGAATTTTCTTTCTTCTTCTCTGGCTAAAAACATACTCAAAAGTAAGAGCAACATAACGCTTTCTCCTAACCTTTTCTGTCTTGACCCTTTATCCAATTACTCTTCTTCCACATTTCTCCCATGAAAGGCCTCTCCTTTTGACCCTCTATCCAATTACTCTTCTTCCACATTTTTCCCATGAAAGGCCTCTCCTCTTGCTACTCAGTCTGAGGTCCAAGGACCACCAGCATCAGCATCGCCTGACAACTTACTAAAAATGCAGAATCCCTAGTCGGCTGAATCACAGTGTGAATTGTTAACAAGGTTTTCAGACGGTTTTCTAAAGTTTGAAAACTTACGGTCTATACGGAGTGTATATGACAAATTATATACATGTGTGGCCGTGCATATATGCTTATTCTCAACTATTGCAAATAGAACACAGCTCTCCATGGTCAGCTGCTTCCATCCCTAATGGCTTCCCACCAGTGAGAAAGACAGGAAGAGTCAGAATATTTTTGCTGTAATTCTCTGGTATGTTTTGGCACTGGAAAGTCACTTTATATTCTTCCCAAATTTCTAACCATACCCGATCTTTTCCTAAAGAATCATTTCATTTTACCATCCTCCATTATATAAACCTGCCTCTTGTTCCTTCCCGTCCTCTCTGTACTCTCTGTCTTTCTCGATCTTCATTTCCTCTTTTACTACTTTCTCCTTTCTTATTTTCTCATTTTCCTCAGCTCTTGGAATACCTTGAATTCAAACTAATAATTCAGTTCCTTTCCAGCACTCTCTATGTAGTCTGCTGCCAACACATGATAAGACGTATAACTTATCACCATTTCACTTCTCTTTTTTTCCATGCTTTGCATTCAGGAGGTAATTTTCTTCAGCTATTAGGGGATATCCCTCCTCATCAGTTCAGAGAAACATTTGGTCAAATGACTTTTTAAATAAAATATGGTTCTTACCTTCTAATTTTCCACTTAAGGTATCGAATTCTTTTTGATGTGTAGCCTTGGGTAAACACCCATCATTCTGTAAGAGAGCCTCAAGGAAACTCTGTTAAAAGTAATATCAATAAATAATTTCAATGGAGAAATCCCAATAATGAAGAGTATCAAAAGTTCCTAATTAAAATCTTTTCTAAAAACACAGTTTCCTACTTTATAAGGAATTCGACTTAAGAGCAGACATGTGTTGAAACCCAAAACATTCTGATAGAAAACCTCACATAACACTCTCCACATCAACTTACCTTTACGTTCATGAGGCTATTAACTTGGTTACTGAGCAGGAAAAACAAATCACACTCACGAAAGAATTCACTCGTGCATATTTCAGAAAGTAACTCTCTTAAAAATATCTAACTTGTGTTGTAGTCCTCATTAAAAGTAAATACGCCATTTCAAACAAAATACAATACACTTGCTACTAGCCATAACACGTACTGCATTAAACATTTAAAATATTCATGATCATAGATTGTTTAGTGTTAAAAATGATGCATGCCGTGAAGAGAACTTTTAGAGTCTGTCATATAATGCATGCACGGAATGTTTAAAAAGTTGCTTTATTTTGGTAAACAGGGGCTTAAAACAAGCAACATGTTTTTGACAAAATTTATGCTGATAGAAAAAGTGCTTGAAGAGAATGTAAATGCAGTAAGAAAAGAAATTATGTCATGTCTAAATGAAAGCCAACAAATATTAAAGTCTTTTTGTCTGACGACAAATCAGATAAAATCTACTTGTCTACTGACTTCCACCCTTTGCTCTTACCACCAGGCAGCAGCTGCTTGTTTCTAAGAGGTCAGATATTTTCTATGTCTTTCCACAGTTGTGACCTTAAAATACATCACTATTATTTCACACTCATGCTGCTGCAGCTTGACTGCCTGCCACAAAGGGACTCGAGGAGTTCTACTTGTGAAAATAATTTATATTTTTCAAAAGATTACTCAACCAATACTCTTGTTACTGTAGTCCCACAAGGTTTCCTAGTCCTCATGCTCCTCTTTCTCCTGAAATGTTCCCTCAGATCTATACTGAACAATACAGAAATGTCAATACATTCAAGTCCCAGGCATTAACTTTTCAGGTCCCAACTTTTACAATACTGCAGTTTAAACTGTCTCTCTACGAATCCAGTTAGAACTTTTGCACATCTAGATACACCACAGAATCATAAATTTGCCCACAGCTGGACTCAGTGTAATTCTTTTGCTTTTAGACAAACTTGCTTCAGATCCCATGTGAATTTCTAGTGACTTCTAAGCCTTATTTTTTACACTATACCACACCGGCTTCTTAAATTAAGCCTGAAAATTAGCAGAATTTCACTACGAAGCAGTCATCTACTTAGCACATAGATCCTCTATTAAGCGTATTCTGAAAAATATCAAAAATAATTTGGGAGTGACATATGCAGAGGTGAGAAAATAAAGTCTAAGCCTCTGCTTTTATGTTTTTGTATCATGCAATACTAGTATTAAAGAAAATTAATAATACACAGTACCTCAAAATCCCAAGAATTTTCTTCATCATCCTTTTGTTTGGATTCTGATGGGAACATCTGAGCTATAAAAGGTTAATCACAGATACATTCATGAGAACATTTCTCTACTATAAACTTTAAAAACATATATAAATCTACTTTCATTCACGAATCTGCGGTTTTTCCTCTGTAGCCCGTATATTCTTTTTGTTGATTACAATCACTACTTCTATAGTCAATCCGTTAGAAATGAAATCTAAAAAAACGGAAAATTAACATTATATCATTCGTTAGAATGCAGAAAAATAGAAATTTGACTAACTCGTAGAGTTATTTCTTCACAAAGCAGTTACATCCTCTTCTCCCGTGAAACACAGTGTGTCCTATACTTGCTGTTCATTCAGAAAACTTTAATTACCTATCATCTCTCACTTCTTTGTAAATTTTTATTTTCTAGTATTACTTAGTTTGATTGACTCTGCAATCTCTATTACACAGTTCTTCAAAAAAGATGATTTATCAACGAACAAGATTTTTTAGGGATATTAACTTTCTGATGTTAGTAAACTATATGTCCAACACTTTTACATTTCAATATGCCATGACAGTATATTGGGTGTGTTTTGGGTGTCTATATGTTTTAGGAAGATAAGCTTAAAAAACTTTTATTGCATATAAATTAAGAACTGCTTTAATTACAATGACATAGTTCTCCCCTAACTCAACAATGTCTTCAGAGTCAGCTTGTGACAACTAGGAGAAACATCAGAAATGTATAGGAAAAAATAATTGCCCTAAGTAATCTCACATCCCCACATGTTATAGGATAAAATCAAGGCCCACACAAGACTTGAGGAGCTCTCAGGCCAATGAGACAGAAAATGAATTTATACCAAAAATAACGTTCAGCTTTGTTTATCAACCAAAAGTACACATTACAACTCTTTGAATCAGGTTAAAGAAAAAAGCAAACATGCACGACTAAAGCCTAAAAGACTGTATCATCGTTAAAGGTACGTTTATCATTTGACATCCATCAACTGTGTATCTGGTTTTTAAAAGTAAATTTAACATGTAATCTCAGCATCCCTAAAGTTCACATTTCATGCAGAGGGACCAAGAAACTAAAATCATACTTTGGTATGCCACCATTTTCACTCATGTTTAGAAGTGTACCCTGGATCGTTTCAGAGATCTAATGTGTTGCAGTAGCATAGCTCTAATAATCTGTGGGTCGCAGTTGGAATTGTTAGTGGAATGTATGATTGCACAAGGAAATACTTTAAATATTTTAGTTTTAATTTCTCACAACTAAAAAGTCAGTAGATATAACTAACTTAAAGACTCTGAAATTTTCATGTTTTCATTTTTATTTATCAGCATAATAATTGTGTACTTAATGGAATTTTATAAACAATCTGACATTTAAAAAGACAGTTAATTGTGTCCTTTATGGACGTCTCTAAAAATTATAATGCTGATCAAAACAGAATGTTGTCAAAAATTACACTGTACAACCACCTATGCATTAGAAGTTGAAAAAAATTTTATGTATTAAATATGACCACGTACACATGTTGGAAAATGTTTAAACATGCATAAGAATACTTTTAAAAAGTAGTTTAGAATATTGGTTACTTCTAGGCAATAAATGGTACTAGTGTAAAAAGACTCTGGGCCGGGCGCGGTGGCTCACGCCTCTAATCCCAGCACTTTAGGAGGCCGAGGTGGGTGGATTACAAGGTCAGCAGGTCAAGACCATCCTGGCTAACATGGTGAAACCCCGTTTCTACTAAAAATACAAAGAATGAGCCAGGCGTTGTGGTGGGCGCCTGGATTCCCAGCTACTTGGGAGGCCCAGGCAGGAGAATGGCGTGAAGCCGGGAGGTGGAGCTTGCAGTGCGCCAAGATCACACCACTGCTCTCCAGCCTGGGCGAGACAACGAGATGGGCGAGACAGCGAGACGCCATATCAAAATTTAAAAAAAAAAGAAAATTTAAGACGTCAAAACAAATTCTACACATAGTCAGAACCACACACATATGTTGTGAATTTATGGTTGTTTGTTTGCTTTTTGAGATGGAGTCTCACTCTGTCACTCAGGCTAAAGTGGCACAAGCTTGGCTCACTGCAACTTCTGCCTCATGGGTTCAAGCAATTCTCCTGCCTCAGCCTCCAGAATAGCTGAGATTACGGGCACCCACCACCACAACCGGCTATTGTTTGTTATTTTTAGTAGCGATGGGGTTTCACTGTGTTGACCAGGCTCGTCTGCGACTCCTGACCTTAAGTAATCTGCCCACCTTGGTCTCCTAAATTGCCAGGATTACAGGCATGTGCCACCATGCACAGCCTGTTGTAACATGATTTAAACATGCATGGGAAT